>NT_167246.2:178623-479765 GCF_000001405.40 Homo sapiens | reverse complement strand
TTATGACATAATCTGATATTTACTATTACATCAACATACATTGTGGTGAATTCTCAATCACACTTTAATGCAGTTTGAGCAACATGATGGTATATCATGCAATTACATATGTAAAGTTTTTACATCAATATATGCTTTTGCTTTTACAAAGCTTGCTGGAGGTTATTTTCTGAATATCCTAGCCCTGTTGTCTCCTATCTACCAACCATATTCTTACCCACCTATGATAAATCACATTTAACTTTATCAACACACTAGAAGCAAATTCATTTGAAGTTCTCTCAATCAGTAATTCTCATGCTTAAAGGGTATTAATCTACTGGTAAACCCTCAAGTACAATGTCCCAGGGCATTAAGATGCACTGACCCTCATGGCTTAAATTTCACCATAATTTTACTCATGTTTGTCTTTACTATGCTGTGCATTCTAGAAAATCTATATATTCTCTGTTTTGTGTGTGTGTTATTTTTCCTTTATTTTATTTAGAATTTTTCAAATTAGTGATGAAATGTTACCACTTTGGTTGTGAATTTGAGTTTGATATTATATTAAAGTAGAAGAGTAGTTTGATGTTTTAAAGAATCTCAGTCTTGTAGATTTTTCCATGTTCAGAATCAACCTGCCTCTTATCCCACCCTTCGATTTTCATCCACTTCATAACCACTAACTACTGGTTTCGTTTTTTGTCTATTCAGATTGCTTTTCCTTTCCCCATTTTCTTTCTTGTATATTATCACCTGCAGGTCTCTATCTAGCTATTTTTATATATGTATGCATCCATATGTCTTATCTCTTCCAGTTCCTTTTAAATTACTAATCATTGAAGTAGATGCTTTTTTTTTTCCCCCTGGATCAACTATTTGTAAAAGGTCCTTGGTTAGGGGAGACAGTCTTAGACTAGATGGTTTTTACTATGCAAAATTCAAGAATACTCTTAATCTCTGCTTCTCTTGAGATTATCTTCTTCCTGCAAATATAGTTTTCCCTGTGATTTTATTTTAGTTGGCCTCCTCTGCTTTTCAGAACACTATCTGGGGGAGTTCATGGTAAAAGCCAGCACACCTCCATTCCTATGGTTGTAAATGTAAAATACAGCATTTCTATCTCACCTTCTAAAGTAGATGCCTCTAGTACCAGTGTATCACATCTCTTCAGCCCAGCTCTAATTTCAGCAGAGCTGCAAGGGACAGTTGTGTGTGAACTCAGATTATCTCACACATATTGACAGTGACCTACCTCAAGTATGCTGTATAGGGCTTCCCTTGGCCCCAAGGCTTGTCTGACACCATGGGAGCCCATTTGGCATATAGACAAGTGCTGCCTAGAAGTACAAAATGCTTAATGACCCTAGGGGAAATCCTCCAACAATGAAGAATTTTAACTAGGAATAAATGGTCCAGCAGCTCTCCCTTCAGGCAAAAACATCCTGTGTGCTTTTCAGAAGGCCTTTAGAGAACTGAGCTCTCATTACACACAACCTGGCTAATGCATCCCTAAATTAACTTTCTTTCTTAAATGTTTCACTCTTCTTGTTCCCTGTATACATATAATACATATGTATTATATATTATACATGTATTTTATATATTACATATATAATGTATATATTTTATATATAGATATATATATAGAGAGAGAGATGAGAATGGAGTTTCCCAGGAAGCCGACTCAGGGATGGAGATCAGCATTTAGAAAGTTTACTAGGGAACATTTTTTGGATCAACATCTTTCAAAGGAAAGGGTGGGTAGCATGATTGAGGAAAGGAAGTAATGCAAACTACCTACTTTGGAAGTTTGTAATGCAAACTACTAAAGTTTCACTGAACCCTGTAGGAAGTTCTCAATATGAGATGACAATTCATTGATGTTCTGAGCTGAGGCCAACGGCAAGCCTTAAATCTCCTTGTTGGTCAGTGTTGAATGCAGATTACATGGAAAAGGGCCATATGTTTAGATGAAGCAACTCTGTTTAGCTGAGGCAACCCAGAAAGAAGGATCTCAGCTGAGCTCTATCTACCTGTAGCACATCTAGCAGCTGAAGTAATAATGCCTTCATTCTGAAAGTGTTATCTGAGTAAAGCATTATAACTTCCAACACTGTCTATTCCTTTAATTTCAGATCTACTCCTTTGTATAAGATCTGGTGTGGGGTGGGGGAGGGGGCAGGGATAGCATTAGGAGATATACCTAATGTAAATGACGAGTTAATGGGTGCAGCACACCAACATGGCACATGTATACACATGTAACAAACCTGCACGTTGTGCACATGTACCCTAGAACTTAAAGTATAAAAAAATTAATTAATTAATTGATTAAAAAAGATCTGGGAAAAGCTCTTACAGGGCTATAGTGGGCCTCTGTATCTGGAGGAAACTTAGAAGAGGACCACCACTGCGGCTGGTCTTAAGTCCTACAAACTATGGTCACCATCTCCTTCTTACTATTCATTCTGTGTTGCTCTCACCCTTATCTGGCACCTCTCCTGCTCTCAGTGGTTTACCTGGTGTCATGATCCGGAAGTGTCTGAGCCCCTGATCACTATGGCTTTTTTTAGTTAATCTCATTGCCTTTGGTCATTTACCATCATAATTAAACAAAGTATACACTTCCTAGTGTACCTTTTGTACCCCCTAGTGGGAATATTTCCCTTTAGAGAGCTAGAACCTCTAAACTCACAGAGCTTATAATTGTGGAGAAAAAAAACACAAATTTCTCAAATGAGTTACTGGTAGGGATTCTAAGAAGGGCTTTCACCTTTTGGTTTCTAAACCATGCATTCTTCCTAGTGAGGACACAGCACCATAGAAAGATAATTGATTTAAAGTACTGGGTCTTGAAGGATGACATTTCATCTGAGCTGGAATTTCAGGTGTAGCTTCAACAGATCCCTCCATGACTCTAATAGATCACTTATGATAGTGCAATATGTGATATGGCCAATGGATTCCATGGTCATAAGTCCACTCCTACACTTTCTTTGCCATTAAGTCGGCCCTTTTTTCTGATACAATGGTATGTGGGATCTCCTGCTGCTGCGTCAAACATCCTATAAGCCTTTAGACAGTCATGCTGGCTGAGAACTTATGTTCAGGAATAGAAACCCATGCCTGGAGTATGTGTATCTATTCCTACCAAAAAAAATTGCTACATTCAAAGTAGAAAAAGTCCAGTGTCATCAACTTGACATTAAATAACTGGTTGATCTTTTGATGGGAAACTATTTTATCCAGTCATTGCATGGGACACTTATTGATGGAAGACTGGATGTTTGACCAGTGGCTATAATGCATGCTGTTAAACCCATGCATTGCTTCTATCCCTACTATCATGGTGGCTTCATTCATAAGCTCATTGCTCTAGCATTGCAGGTAGGATAATGAGGGCAAATGTCAGAAGCTCTTGACAATAACTGCTCGCCAAGTCACGTTTTCTACCTAGTTGCTTAATTCATTTTCTATGATGGATTCCATCTTGTAGTTTTAGCATGTAATACAAATAATGCAACACTTCATACCTTCACTCTTATATGTTTATGCATGTGCCTCTGTTCCAGACTTCTTTTTTCCAAGTGTTTCTATCTTTTTCTTTCCAGCCACCTGAAAAGCCTCCTAAGCCATTTATCACTACCTATGAGTTATACATATTCTAACTTCAAACTACTTCTCTTTCCACACAAAGTGAATGACTGGGTACCATCTGAAACTCTGTCCATTGGGAGGCGTTTTCCTCACTACTATTTTTCAAGATCACCGTAAGCGAGGCTATAATTTATCTTCATCCTTTTTGACTTGGACTCACATACCAAGCTGACCCATTAATGAACCAAGCTTGACATTTTTCTCCTCCATTAGAGTTGGAAGTGTTCTCTCTTGGAGGCGTAAGTGTGGTCTGAAGAAGAGATATTGATGCAAAAGTGGTGAATAGCATGAAGTCCTGGGCTACTTGCTCATACTGTTTGCCTCTGCCCTCTAGTCATGCTGTGGTCAATCCTGGATGTACTAATGCCGTGTTACAGTGATTGCTCTGTATCCACTCAACCTAATAACTTGATGGTTCAGACAGTCCCCAGCTCATATGGGTAGTTTTGCCTGCATGGTTATTTGTTGTTCCATGGTCAGATGTTATTTCTCTACCCAGAATTCAGTAAAACACCAGGGCTTTATTTTTGAAATGTATACAATCCTGTGCTGTAGATAGCAGAGTTTTATCAAAACCCTAAGAATTTTGTTATGATCTTCCCATAAACTTGCCATAAATTCCACCTCATTTATGGTGAAATTTAGACTTGCTATAGAGCCCATTCTTACCCTGAAGGCCATTCAAATACAGCACCTAGTGGATGAATTAGAACAGTACTCGATAGTGTCAAATATGCTTACTACAAAGTACAGAGAGGTCTGCCAGGCACTTTGCTTCTTTTTTATGATAGGAAATGCATAATGCAAAAATGTATCCTTTACTTTAGATAGAATGTCTCATAGTGCCCCAGACCAATAAACACTTAAAACTTTTATGCTTTAGGTCCCTGAATCTTTATGGAGTGCAACACTCACTCTCTGGATCACATGTGTCTTATCAAGGCTTTTAATGTATTGACCACTTCTTGTTCATATTGTCTGATACGCATGATGTGTTAGATATAGTTGGCCAGTGTGACGGCCTACAGAATATACAGCTAGTCCCGTTCTCTTCAGTATTTTATGATGGAAGATGAAAAACCTAGCATAGCTCTGGGACATGGTATAGTATTGTCAGCTCCAAGTGAGTGCAAACTCCCTGATCATGTTTCCTGATAAGGATGAAAAAGAAAACATTTACCAGATCAATGTATGCATACGGGGTACTCAGTAACATGCTAATATACTCTATCAAGGATAACATATCTCTTCCAGCAGATTCAATTGGGGCTACTACTTATTTCAATCTGTGGTAATTTGCTACTGTCATCCCAATATCTGTCTGATTTATTTCAGGGGTCTGACTGCTAATGCAAATGAAGATATGACAGGAAGTACCACTATTGTATACCTTAGGATTTAAAGGGGAATAGGGAAAATAAAAGCAACTTTACAACCCTGAGGATAATTTAGGATTCAACATTAAAATTGAAAAGATATAAGGAAAATCAAAAGAGGAGGCATATATATATATATATACACACACACATATGTATATCTCTTCAATGATGTTTGTGAGATTTATGCTTTTATAAGTTGTCTAAAATTACTTTTCTATTATAATTCAAGTCCAAACAATTCTATTCCTTTTAAAAGCAATTCGAAATATGTATTTGTTATATACTAACACTTCTAAAAATTTTTTTTCTTGAGACAGGGTCTTGCTTTGTTGCCCCAGCTGGAGTGCACTGGCACAATCTTGGCTCACTGTGACCTCCACCTCCCAGGCTCAAGCAATCCTCCCACCTCAGTCTTCAGAGTAGCTGACACTATAGGTATGCACCACCATGCCTGGCTAATTTTTTTTTTTTGCATTTTTAGTAGAAACAGGAGTTCATCATGTCACCCAGGCTGGTCTCAAACTCCTGAATTCAAGTAATCCTCCCACTTCAGCCTCCCAAAGTGCTAGGATTACAGTGTAAGCCACCTCACCCAGCCTATACTAATACTTTTAATTCACTGACATCATTTCTGATAAACAGTCTAAAAGAGATCACATATGGAAAGCACTTTATTCTGAATGATCTATAGTATAAGGTGACAAATTCAGAAAATATATTTAATTGTAGAAGAATGAGAAAGTATATATATGTACATATATAATGTATATATGAATTATTAATTTAAAAAAGAATGTTACATAGCTTCAAAAACTGCATATCAAGAAAATTTTATAAATTAGAAAATGATTGTTTTACATATGTCAGTTTACAATTTATAAAAATACATGATATGGCCGGGAGGTGGCTCACACTACAGGTGAGGTCCCAGCACTTTGGGAGGCCAAGGCAGGCAGATCATCTGAGGTCGGGAGTTCGAGACCAGCCTGACCAAGATGGAGAAACCCCGTCTCTACTAAAAATACAAAATTAGCCAGGCATGGTGGTGGGTGCCTGTAATCCCAGCTACTCAGGAGGCTGAGGCAGGAGAATTGCTTTAACCCAGGAGGCGGAGGTTGCAGTGAGCCGAGATCGTGCCATTACACTCCAGCATGTGCGAAAAGAGCAAGACTCCATCTCAAAACAAAAAAATGATACACAAAAGAAAAGTAAGGGGAAACAAATACATTAAAATACGAGCATGTGGCCAGGTGCCATGGCTCACACCTGTAATCCCAGCACTTTGAGAGGCCAAGGCAGGTGGATGGCCTGAACCCAGGAGTTGGAGACCAGCCTGGGCAATGTATTAAAACACCATCTCTACAAAAGATACAAAAATTAGCTGGGCTTGGTGGCGTGCACCTGTGGTACCAGCTACTCAGGCAGCTGAGGCGGGAGGATGACCTCAGCCTGGGAAGTCGAGGCTGCAGTGACCTGTGATCGCACCACTGCACTCCAGCCTGGGCCATGGGAGTGAGATCCTGTCTTAAAAACAAAACAAAACAAAACAAAACAAACAAACAATATATATCCAGGCTATATCCAGGCTGATACTAGATATTTAATTTAATTATAATTTTCTTTATTTCACTGAAAATCTTTGGTGAGCACTTATTAAGTTATACATTGCATAAATCTTCTTATTTTCAAAAACTATTCCAGTTGCAATCTCATTATTTCTACTTGTTCTGCTCCAGTGAATTAATGCTAACCTTAAACTTCAGTGTGTTAATTTATGTTAAATGACATCATATGATATAAATAATATTTTAACCACAGATCTTTGGGAGATTTAGTCCAAGCATATTCATCACAAAAAAATCAGTAAACAATAGAAATACCATTTTCCTATATACACCATCAAAAGACTCCCTATTTGACCCTGAGACCAAGTCCTACAAAACAGAATCCAAACTCCTAAGTATGGTTTGCAAAATTCCACCCAACTCCACTGCCTAGTCCCTGCCTAACCATGAACATTCTCACAATATGCTGCTAAGTGAAAAAGCAGGCTATAAAGCAATATGTACATCTTATGCTAAATGAATAAGCCAGACCTAAAAGGGCAAAAATTGTATGTTTCCAATAATATGAAATATCTGGAACATGCAAATTCATACAGACATAAGGTAGGTTGAAAGTTACTAGGGGATGGGGGAGGGGAATGGAGAGTTATCACTAAGGGTTAGAGTTTCTGTTTGGGATGACGAAAAAGTTTAGAAAATAGTGGCAAGATTTACACAATAGTATGAATATAATTAACACCATTAAATTGTACACTTAAAAATAGTTAAAATGGCAAATTTTATGTTATATATTACCACAATGTTATAAATTAGTAATGAAATATACCAAAAATCATTGACTTGTACACTTTAAATGGGTGAACTGTATTGTAAATAAATTATATCTCAATACAGCTATAAAATTTAAAAATGAAAAATAAAGAAATTTGTGGCTGTATGTTTATTTAGCCTTATGCTCTTCAAATTAATACATTCCAAACCTATTTTTCATAGTTCATGTTTTATAACTCTAATCTTCACCCTAGTTTTAGAATTTGTGAACTACCTATGTGTCAGTATTATGCCACCAGTGCAATTGGGAATAGAGTTAACTTATTGCCTCTGGGGACACAATGACCAATTAAACTTGAGGGACTCAGAATCCCTAAGGTTAAAATAAAGGACACAACATTGTGAGAATAGTAGGACTTTAATAAATACTGGCTGGTTTTATTAAAAGCCACAACCTTCTCTCTGTGACAGTGCAAATGTTACTAATGTCTATAAAATCAGCTTCTCATTGTGGAAATCCATTAGGAACCTGGCAAGGACAGCCCATGTCAGTCAAAAATATCCCGGTGACTGAAGACATTATCTGTAACACACTTTTACCTCATCTTAAGATTTTTACTTATATGTTCTTAAGGCAGTGCAAGATACATGATAATTTTATTCTCAATCTGTGGGCAAAAGGTAGTTGAGTCAGAATGGCAAAAGAGTTGAAAGCTCAAAACATCATTGCATGTATCAGTCTTTGCACCAGACTTCCTTGAAACACAACACAAAGAAAGGCATGGATATCTCTAGGACACTTAGAATAAAGGCGAGTGGTGTCTACCACAGAGAATTATGTTACCATGATTGGGAAGGGTCTTTCAAGATCATCTAACCTACATCATTACCTCTGGGTTGCATCATGTTAAGTAATCAGAATGTCCAATTTGTTTCCAGGGAACCTTGAAATAAATATCAAGTATTTTTAGTGATTCCAAAAATCCTTCTTATCCTTTGAAACTTTTGAATGAAAATTTGCTTATTATATCTCCACACATAAAAAAGTCAGTGGGAATTTTTTAATTGAAAAAGAATCAGTGGTATTTGAGGTTTCTTTTGATATATGCAGGATGCATAAATAAGAAAAGGTTTAAGATAACAGTGGAATCACCATTCTCTTGTCAAGGGATAAGTTTATTTACTGATAATGCAAAAAAAAAAAAAAAGAATTGATAAATGAACTGGCACCAGTGCCATATAAAAGGTGAAGAGGAGTAGAGGCTGTGAAAATAATAGAATAAGAAGGAAGAGCTGCTGAGTCAATTACTGTTATCAGCTATGCCCTTCAGATAACCAAATATCTCCTACTATTGACTTGACTTTCACTTATGAGGAAACTATGTTCTCTGCACTATGCTAGAAACAAAGAAGTGACATATACATTTAATCATTTCATATCATAATATTATAAAATTACAATAAGCACTGGGATTACCAATAATAAATTATATCTCTGCTTTTTCATACACATGACAAGCTGAAATAATGACTCAATATTATGAGTAATGATTATTACTAATGATTAATGCTAATCATACTATTAATGATAACTGGCTTACATTCATTAGATCCTTCCTATGTTTCAGGCACTGTCCAAAATCTAGATGTGTATGCACTGGCTCATTGAAGTCTCACAATAATTCCCTTTTTTATAAAACAGGTTTTAAAAACAGCATGGTACTGGTACCAAAACAAATATATAGACCAATGGAACAGAACAGAGGCCTCAGAAATAACACCACACATCTACAACCATCTGATCTTCCATGAACCTGAAAAAAACAAGCAATGTGGAAAAGATTCCCTATTTAATAAATGGTGTTGGGAAAACTGGCTAGCCACATGCAGAAAACAGAAACTGGACCACTTCCTTACACTTTATACAAAAATTAACTCAAGATGGATTAAAGACTTAAACATAAAACCTAAAACCATAAAAGATTTAGAAGAAAACCTAGGCAATACCATTCAGGACATAGGCATGGACAAAGACTTCATGACTAAAACACCAAAAGCAATAGCAACAAAAGCCAAAATAGACAAATGGGATCTAATTAAACTAAAGAGCTTCTGCACAGCAAAAGAAACTATCATCAGAGTGAACAGGCAACCTACAGAATGGGAGAAAATTTTTGCAATCCATCCATCTGACAAAGGGCTAATATCCAGAGTCTACAAAGAACTTAAACAAATTTACAAGAAAAAAACAACCCCATCAAAAAGTGGGCAAAGGATATGAACAGACACTTCTCAAAAGAAGACATTTATGTAGCCAACAAACATGAAAAAAGCTCATCATCACTCATCATTAGAGAAACGCAAATCAAAACCACAATGAGATTCCATCATACGCCAGTTAGAATGGTGACCATTAAAAAGTCAGGAAACAACAGATGCTGGAGAGGATGTGGAGAAATAGGAATGCTTTTACATTGTTGGTGGGAGTGTAATTAATTCAACCATTGTGGAAGACAGGGTGGCAATTCCACAAGGATCTAGAACCAGATCCAGAAATATCATTTGACCCAGCAATCCCATTACTGGGTTTATACCCAAAGGATTATAAATCATTCTACTATAAACATGCATGTACATGTATGTTTACTGTGGCATTCCACAATGGTTGAATTAATTTACACTCCCACAAGGATCTAGAACCAGAAATATCAGCAAGCATGCCTGGCTGTGTGCAGTATCCAGGCTGGTAATGTAAGCTGAGCACAGGCTGCCAGGCTGAGTGGGCCAGTGGGCCTGAGCAAAACCCCAGCATAAGTGCCACTAGCCACAGAGGTTTTCAGCTGGTGAAGTGATAACCCAAGGATCCCGTAACATAACCATTAGAAAACATTGGACAAACCATGATTGAAGTGCATTCTGTAAGATACCTGAGCAGTACTCAGAATTATCAACATCATGAAAAACAAGATAACAGAGATTCAGGAAACTGAAACACATGACAACTAAAGGCAATGGAGTGTCCTGGATGGGATTCTGCAACAAAAAAAGGATGTTAAAGAAAATCTTGCTGAAATCCAAAGATAGTCTAGAGTTTTGGTAGTAGTAACATACCAATGTTAGTTTCTGAATTTTGAAAAATGTACCAGAGAAATGTAACATTAAGTGAAAGTGAAACTGGTTGAGGTGTATATGGGAATTCTTTGCCATCTTTGCAACTTTTCTGTAAAGCTAAAATTATGACAAAATAAAGCATGTATAAAAAATGTGTTACACAGATGGGAAGGGACAAGATGTCCAATTAGTTGCAGCCAGGAAGCACTGCTTTCACCGAGAGAGACCAAATTATTGAGTTAATCAACATAAATTGGTTGATTTAATCATCTCAGCCCAAAATCTCCTTAAGCTGATAAGCAAATTCAGCAAAGTCTCAGGATACAAAGTCAATGTGTGATCTTAGGAGAGAAAACACTGAGTGTATGGAGAAGCAAAGCTGAAGCTGAGGCTGTAGAGTCAGAAATCTGGAAACCCTGAAGTGGTACCTGAATGCCAGGGCTAGTTCCCAGCCCCAGATGGCTCCTGGGAAATTGGTGAGCCAGGGAACTGAGGGACAGCTCACTCTTGTCATGTACCTCTGGGATCCTAGCTATGAGAGACCCCATATCCCCCATAAATGTGTTAGCTGGCAGGGGTATCTCCCTGGGGAACAGGCAGAGACAGTACTTCAGACAGTGCAGAGCCTGGGAGCTTTTGTGTGCTGGGCAGCTTTGGTGGAGGGTAGCCATAGACACACATCCCTGAGAGCTTCCCATCTCCCTCTGCAAGGCTCTTGACTCAGCTGACTGTCAAGCCAAAGGAGAGCAGGGCTGGCTTCCCTATGGGACTAAGACACATCTGTTCTGCAAGCCCTCCTGCCTGCAGGCTCCTCTCAGGTCCTATGCCTAGCTGCCCTGGAGAAGCAGGTGCATTGTGCAGCTTGCACAGCCCAGCTGAATGCCTTGCTTCACCTGAGTACTTTCCCAGCAACCCAGAAGCATATCAGATCCCACAGTGCAGCCAGAGCCCAACCCTGAGCTGCAGGATGTCCTGGTGCTACCTGGGTTTCTAAGCACAGCTTGGGATTATCAAGCCAAGATATGTGACCCACACTAAGTTAGGTGAGTTAGCTTAATAAAAAAAAAAAAAAAGAAAGAAAAGAAAAAAATTCCATCCAATATCCCTGATGAACATAGAAGGAAAAATCCTTGAGAAAATACTAATCAAACAAATCCAGCAGCACATCAAAAAGTTAATACACCACAATCAAGAAGGCTCTATTTCTGGCATGCAAGATTGGTTGAACATCTGCAAATCTACAAATGTGATTCACCACATAAACAGAATTAAAAGGAAAAGCCATATGATCATCTCAATAGATGCTGAAAAAGCTTTTGGTAAAATCCAATATCTCCCAACATACTGCAGTATGTTTACTG
This sequence comes from Homo sapiens, assembly GCF_000001405.40. NCBI lineage: Eukaryota > Metazoa > Chordata > Mammalia > Primates > Hominidae > Homo > Homo sapiens. The sequence continues at coordinate 467,936 of NT_167246.2, read as the reverse complement.
TGGCAGGTGTGTATGAGGGAGCAAGTGTGGGGTCCAGCTACTGCACACAGCCAGGCATGCTTGCTGCAGCAGGGCAGGCAGTTCCAGGCACTGACAGGGGTGCCATCTCCCTGCAAGTCTGCGGCTGGACCAGGTGTACTGCAAGCAGCTTCCGCACCAGGAACCACAGAACCACCCAAAAGGGTGTCACAGCCCTGGCTCAGGGAGCTCCTAGGTCTGGGCTCCCCAAAGAGTTGCATCTCTTATCTCCTTTATGTCAACCACAATGAGGTGAGGAAAGGGCATGTTTCAGCCCTGTTTGTGTGACAGCTCTTTCAGCCATGCCATTCAGTGGGTCCCAAGTTCTTGTCCCACACTCACGAGGTATGTGGATAAGTGGAGGGTGAGTAAGGTGAAGAGGAGCTTTATTGAACAATAGAACAGCTGAGAGGAAACCCGCTCCTCTCCATAGCCAGGGTGTCCTAACGAGTGTTCAGCTCTCCGCAGAGAGGAGACCCTGGAGTGGGTAGCTCCTCTCCTCAGACAGGTCATCCCACAGAGTGTTCAGGTCTCAGCAGAAAAGAGACCCTAGGGTAGGTAATTCCTCTCTGCAGCTGGTTGTCCTGACATCTTTTTGTGTCTGGCTGAGTCTGGGAATTTTTATGGACTTCAGAGGAAAGGAAGTGCTTGCTGATTGGTCCTTGGGCAGCCACGGGCAGGCTTGGAAAAAGCATCGTAAGTCCCCACTCCAGTCTGCGAGGCTGGCAGCCCGTCTCCCAGGCTTCAATCCTTCCCTGAGTTGAAGGTGGGGCCTCACCGGGGACCCGTCCCTTTCTGCCCAGGAGCCTGTGGGCCTCCTGCCACTGTTGACGGTGCCCAGGCTGTTCCTGCCAAGAGGCACCTGCAGGCCAGCGCCAAGCTGCCCTCAGCAGCACCCCCTCCAGCCTCCCTCCCTTGCTTACTGGTGCCCAAAGCCCAGAGGGGGCTGAGGTGGCAGAAGACTGGCATGTCAGTGCTGCCCCAAGTGTGGGCACACCAGGCCAGGTTGCAATAGCACCTGGGCCTGGCCTCAACCACGCTCCGAGATCAGAGCACGCACCAGGAGCAGGGAGAGATCAGACACCAGGAGCAGGCACCTCCAAGCCTGCGGGGGCAAAAAGGGCTTTCCCAGGCCCCCAAGAGTGCAGAGATGCCCGGGTCTGCCGCTGCAGCTTGGGCATCTGCAGCTGCGCCCAGGAGGGCAGGGCTCTTACTCCTGGCACCCAAGAACACAGGGATGCCCAGGTTTGTAGACACAGCTTGAGCAGCTGCAGCTGCACCAGGGAGGGTGGGGCTTCTGCCTGCTCCTGAACCCCAAGCGCACAGGGATGTCCTGTCCACAGCCGCTGCTGGGCAACTGCAGCTGAGCCTGGGGAGCACAAGGCTCTTGCCCTGTCAACTCATAAGGGGTTGGGGCTTCCGCCTGTTCCCGGCTCCAGGGGCTCCACGGAGCGCACAGCCACACCTGCATCTCCCCTACTACAGCCGGCATCACAGTCCAGATGGGTTTCAGCTGCCATCAATTACACTGGGCCTTTGAATTTTTGCAGAGGAGACCACAGAGGTAAAGTGCCCTTTTTATCCCATCAGAGCAGGGGTTACATAATATCTACATGGCATCACTGATGGTGCTGACTTTAATCACTTGGTTAAGGTAGTGTTTTCACTAAATAAAACTGAAACTTACAATTGTTACCTGTCCATACTCTATTCCTTGGAAGACAGTCACTGAGTCCAGCCTACACTTAACAAAGGAGATCATGAGCTCCACATCTGAAAGTGGGGACTATTAATAGACTAGTAAGGAAGATTTCTCCCTTCTTCTCATTTATGTATTTATTCAATCATTTATTTATAAGAGTATGGACTCATACGTTTTATACTTCAGGTTATAATCCAGTGATATGTTATTTATTTTGTTGTTGAAATTGCTCCAGCTTTACCCATTGAGAGCTCTTTCAAGTTAGCTGCTGGGTCCCTTGGACAGGTCTTCATCCTTTTGTTATCCTTTTCTCTTCAGGGCCCCTCCCTGATTTCTGGTATTACTGGTTCTTCTCCAGGCTTCTCTTATATATTTCTTCACCAGGCTTAGAAATATCTTATAATCAGACATTTCTCCAACGATCTCTGTTTCTTTTCACTGGAAAATGGCATTAGAAAACATTATCTGAGTGTGACATGTGCACATTGCTATGAGGGTAACATTGTTTCTAGGCTATTTCAGCAGAAAGGGCTAGGTAATGTGTGTCTACACAGTAAGCCCTGAATACACACATATCTGTCGTTGTTTCCTTATTTGTCCATCTGTGTGTGTCCATGTGCATTTGGGCTTGTGTTTAAACATGAGGTCATAGTGATAACTCTGACTCTAACACAGTCCCTAATGGTCATTCTGGCCTTCCTTTCTTGCTTCTCTGTAACTTCTCTTACCAACAGGGAGAAACCTGGATGCCACTGTTCATATTTTAATATTTTTGTTCAACTGGTATGCATGTGAAGCAATTACAGAATTAGCTGAACCCGCATGAGAAACAAATTTACTATTCAGAATACCATATTTATGCAAAGTTACTTTTGTCTACAGTCTGACATTTTTTAATCAAAACATTATTTCTCAAGGTAAGTTAGGCCACTTTTTACTTCTTCTCTACCCTTTTCAGTGTTGTTAGCTTACATATTTATATAAAGTGAGGTTGATTTGCCACTGTCATACCATTCTAGGATCTTCCCACATCTTGGTGATATTTTTGCTTGTTTATTTGCATGCATTTGAGTGCAATTTTGTGATACACTACTTAGGGATTAATAAATCATGGACTTGTGTATTACTAGTGCAGCACCATACAAAACAACTCCATCATTTAAAAATTCCCCTGTGTGTCTTCTTTGTAATAAACTAATCTCCCTTACACTAAGCCCTGGATACCACTGATGTGTTTCCATCCCAGTGGGTTTTTTTTCCCCAGATGTCTTATGAATGAAATCATACAATATTCAGACTTTGAAGTCTGGCTTCATTCATTTAGTAAAATACCCTTAACATATATTCATGTTGTTGCATGTATCAGTAGCTCATTCCATCCCATTGATCAATAGTATTCATTGATCAATCAACTTCCACAAAATCATAGATCATTGTGTGGAAATACCCAAGATTATCTTTCCCCTGTTGAAGGGCATGGGTTGCTTACAGTTTGGAGTAATTATGAATGAAACTGATATAAACATTTGCATGCAGATTTTTACACGGACCTAAGTTTTAATTCACTAGGGTAAATACTTAGGAATGTGATTGTTAAGTCATATGGCAAGACTATATTAAACTTTATAAAAATTGCCAAATAGTCAAAGTGGTTGCACCACTTTGCATTTCTACCAGCAATCAAAGAGAGTTTCCCTCACTTTGCATTCTTGCTAGTATTTATTATTTTCAGTGCTTTTGTTTCAGCAACAAAAAAAAATTGTGAGAATTTATTTTTAATTTTGTTATATAAGTACTTTCATAATACTCCAGTTTTGTGTCTTGGTTTACAAAGCCTTAATATTGACTACGTAGCTTTTTATAGGAAAAAATACTGGTATCTGGACTTTCATATAGATTTTCTTAAATCAGTGAGATTTCCATCAGTCAACTTAACTGTAAATCAACTATTACAAGGTTTTTTAAATGTGGGAAATCATGTCTTTGATAAGAACAGGTCAGTTTTTTCATTTTTTTCTCTAAGAATTTTTGTTTTGTGTGTGTGTGTATCTATCACTTAATGTGCATTTGAAAACTTTCTAATTAACTTTTTCTAATACAAATAATCTATGAAACTTTATTCCATTTTCTCAATACAGTTTAGAAATTACTTGAACATTTGGTTAAATGTTCTGAACCTTACTTTCAAATTACATTTTCTTACTAGACAAATGCTTAGACAGTGTGGCGATTCCTCAAGGATCTAGAACTAGAAATACCATTTGACCCAGCGATCCCATTACTGGGTATATACTCAAAGGATTATAAATCATTATACTATAAAGACACATGAACACGTATGTTTATTGTGGCACTCACAATAGCAAAGACTTGGAACCAACCCAAATGTCCATCAATAATACACTGGATAAAGAAAATGTGGCACATATACACAGTGGAATGCTATGCAGCCATAGAAAAGGATGAGTTCATGCCCTTTGCAGGGACATGGATGAAACTGGAAACCATCATTCTCAGCAAACTATCACAAGGACAGAAAACCAAACACTGCATGTTCTCATTTATAAGTGGGAGTTGAACAATGAGAACACTTGGACACAGGGTGGGGAACATCACACACCAGGGCCTGTCGGGGGGTGGGGGGCACTGGGGGAGGGATAGCATTAGGAGAAATACCTAATGTAAATGACGAGTTGATGGGTGCAGCAAATCAACATGGCACATGTATACCTATGTAACAAACCTGCACATTGTGCACATGTACCCCAGAACTTAAAGTATAATTTTAAAAAATGCTTAATTCATGCCGAATATGTTCAGTGTGATTTTTAAAGGCTTCAAGATTCAATGTTATTCATACAACCTAATTTCTATTTTATTTCTCTCTCCATGAAGAGTCTTGTAAGAGGCCAGGCACGGTGGCTCACACCTGTAATCCCAGCACTTTGGGAGGCCAAAGTGGGAGGGTCACTTGAGGTCAGGAGTTTGAGACCAGACTGGGCAACAGGGTGAAACACTGTCTCTACTAAAGATACAAGAATTAGCCAGAATTGGTGGTGCATGCTTGTAATCCCAGCTACTCGGGAAGCTGAGGTAGGAGAATCACTTGAAACCGGGAGATGGAGGTTGCAATGAGCTGAGATTGCACCACTGCACTCCAGCCTGGGCGACAGAGCAAGACTCCATCACAAAAAAGAAAAAAAAAAGTATTTTAAGAAGCATAAACAAATCAATCACCTTTGACTGAACATTGATTGGTACTTGTTCTGATTTGATCCAATTCTAAGTCCCAGCATCCATTTTATCTTCTCCAAGTATAGTAGGGAATATTCATCAACTGTTTACTCAGTTATTTGATTTGATTTCTTATCACTTAACACTTAATCCAAGGATATAAATATCCTTTTGCCCAGTGGTAAACTTGTCATCCAATCCTTGAGTTTCTTTTGCAAACACGTTAGGTTTTTCTCAAGATTGAAATGCTCATCCAAACCCAATTTTTTTTTTTTTTTTTTTGCTGTCTTAAGTTGTTTTTTTTCCTCTTCTGACATAGTTTTAAGGCTATTTTGGCATTAGCTTCTCACTATTTAAAAGACTTCAACACATCTTCCAGTAACGGAACCCATATTCTAAACCTAGCCATGAATGTAATTCATTCTGAACTTTAAGGTGTTCTTTTTTTTTTAAAGATGACATATAAATGGCCAATAATCATATGAACAAATGCTAATCATAAGAGAACTGCAAATTAAAACCACAGTGAGATATTATGTTATGCCAGTCAAAATGGCCATTATTAAATTCAGAAAAAAAAAATTTTGCCGAGGGTATAGAGAAAAGGATTACATACACTATTGGTGGGAATGTAAATTAGTACAACCTCTGTGGAAAACAGTATGGAGACTTTTCAAAGAACTAAAAATAGAGCTACCATTCGATCCAGCAATCCCATTACTGGATATCAAGCTAAAGGTAAAGAAATCATTATATCAAAAAGAAACCTATGTGTCTATGTATATCGCAGCACTATCCACAATAGCAAAGTAATAAAATCAGCCTGAGTGTCCATCAGTGGACTATTGGATTTCTAAAATGTGGTATACATATATACACACTTTAGAATACTACTTGGCCATAAAAAGACTGAAATCATGTCTTTTGCAGCAACGTGACTGTAACTGGAGGCCATTGGCTTAAGAGAACTCAGAAACAAAAAGCCAAATGCTACATATTATCAATTATAAGTGGGAGCTAAACAATGGGTACATGTGGATATAGAGTGAAATATAGGCATTGGAGACTCCAAAAGGTGGGAGGCTGGGAAAGGGTTGAGGGATGAAAGACTACCTACTGAGGACAATGTATTTTATTTGGATGATGGATACATTGAAAAATCAGACTTCACCACTATGCAATATATCCATGGAACACAACTGCACTTCTACATTGTAAATCTGTAAAAATTCGCATTTTTCAAAAACATTCCTTTTTTTCAAAGCATCTATTTTGAACTCAAATTTCCTATACACTTAGAGGATTTAATGCCTTGTTCTAAGGGCAAGACTCCATGAAAAATAATTTATACTCTTCATACTCGTTTTTTTTTTAAGAGACAAAGTTTCACTCCCATTGCCCAGGCTGTAGTACAATGGCGTGATCTCGGCTCACTGCAACCTCTGCCTCCCAGGTTCAAGGATTATCCTGCCTCGGCCTCCCAAGTAGCTGGGATTACAGGATCTGCCACCATGCCTGGCTAATTTTTTGTATTTTTAGTAGAGACGGAATTTCACCATGTTGGCCGGGCTGGTCTCAAACTCCTGACCTCAGGTGATCCACCCGCCTCAGCCTCCCAAAGCGCTGGGATTACAGGCATGAGCCACCACACCAAGCTCATATTCTTTTTTAATCAGCCTAATTTATTAAAACATTACATTTGTCTTCAACTACAGAAGAAACTTCTCTGGTAAACTCTTTTTTTTCTCTCTACATAAAGTGGGCTTTTATAATTACAAAATCCAAATAGAGCCGCACTTACCACCATCCCCCATGTTAAGCCATAGAACTCTGATGTGAGTCTCATGTCTCCTTGCAACATTGACGTGGCCTCAATCAGCTTCTCCAGGACCTCTATAAAGTAACACCTCATAGCAGTAAGCAGGTCCTCCATAGCACCAGATCTGCCTTTGGTTGCCAAGACACTATGATTCTACAACAAACTGCAGAGAACACTAGCAGTGTTCTGCTTGGAACCTAAATCTGCACCTAGCAACCAGGACAGCACATCAGTGGGATGCCAATGTGGGAGGATAGATGGGGCTTTCTAAACATTTTCACTATTAGCGCATGAAAAATGGGAAACTACAAGGCTCTTGTTGATCCAAGGAGACTGGCCACAGAGACTGTATTCCTTCTAGGCACTAACAAGCAACCCTAAAGTATGAGAGAATTAATGTCATTTCATACATGTGCAATTCAGGAATTACTAGGAACGTGGCAGTAAAGAACTTACATGCCCATATCAATAGTCAAAGTCCTCTTAATGTAAACATGTCTTTCTGAGGTTCTGCTAGACCTAATACTATTTAAAAATTCAAAGGTTCCTCACCTCAGCATCCCATCTTGTTTTGTTTTGGGTTAGATGAGGGGGATAAGCATGAGAGAGTTGAATTATTGTCATTAAGTTATCGATTTAACTTTCAAATGTAAAAACTCATAAAGGTTGAAGGTAATTTGGGGTTTAGGTTTTTTTAACTTTTATTTTAGGTTCATGGGTATATGTGCAGGTTTGTTATACAGGTAAACTGCGCATCACAGGGGTTTGGAGTACAGATAATTTCATCATCCAGGTAATAAGCATAGTACTCAATAGGTATTTTTTCTGATCTTCTTCCTCCTCCCACCCTCCACCGTCAAGTAGACCCCAGTGCATGTGGTTCACCTTCTAGTATCCATGTGTTCTTATGTTTAGCTCCCACTTATAAGTGAGAACATGTGGTATTTGGCTCTTTTCCATTTAGTTTGCTTAGGATGATGGCCTGCAGCTCCATCCATGGTGCTGCAAAGGAAATGACCTCATTCTTTTTATGACTGCATAGTATTCCATGGGGTCTATGTACCACATTTTCTTTACCCAATCTACTGTTGATGGGCATTTAGGTTGATTTCATGTATTTGCTGTTGTGAACAGTGCTGCAATGAACATACTCGTGCATATGTCTTTATGGTAGAATGATTTATATTCCTTTGGGTATATACCCGCTAATGGGATTGCTTGGTGGAAGAGTAGTTCTGTTTTAAGTTCTTGGAGGAATCATTACACCATTTTCCACAATAGCTAAGGTAATTTACATTCCCACCAGCAGTGTATAAGCATTCCCTTTTCTCCATAACCTTGATGTATCTGTTATTAATAATTTGACTTTTTGATAATAGCCATTCCACCTGGTACGAGATGGTATCTCATTGCGGTTTTGATTTGCATTTCTCTAATGATTAATGATATTGAGCATTTTTTCATATGCTTGGCCGCATGTGTACCTTCTTTTGGAAAGTGTCTGTTCATGTCTTTTGCTGACTTTTAAACGGCATTGTTTCTTTCTTATAAATTTGTTTAAGTTCTTTCTAGATGCCAGATATTAGACCTTTGTCAAATGCATTGTATGCAGATATTTTCTCTCATTTTGTAGGTTGTCTGTTTCCACTGTTGATAGTTTCTCTTACTGTGAGACGTTCTTTAGTTTAATTAGGCTTCATTTGTCAATTTTTGTTTTTGTTGCAATTGCTTTTGGCATCTTCATGATGAAATGTTTCCCAAGTCCTATGTCCAGAATGGTATTTCCTAGGTTATCTTCCAGAGTTTTTATATTAATAGTTTTCATTTTAACATTTAAGTGTTTAATCCATCTTGAGTTGATTTTTGTATGTGGTGCAAAGTTGGCATCCAGTTTCAATCTTCTGCACAGAGCTAGTCACTTATCCCAGCACCTTTTATAAAATGGGGAGTCCTTTCCCCATTGCTTGTTTTGGTCAGCTTTGTTGAAGATCATATTTTTTTGTAGGTGTGTTGCACTATTTCTGGGTTCTCTATTTATTCTATTGGTCTATATATCTGTTTTGTTTTGTTTTTTTTTTTTCCAGTACCGTGCTGTTTTGGATACTGTAGCCCTCTAGTATAAGTTGGGTAAGGTGATGCCTCTAGCTTTTTCCTTTTTTCTTAGGATTGCCTTGGCTATTAGGGCTCTTTTTCGGTTCCATACAAATTTTAAAATAGTTTTTTTCTAATGCTGTGAACAATGTCATCGGTAGTTTGATAGGAGTTGCACTGAATCTATAAATTGCTTTGGACCAGTGTGGCCATTTTAATGATACTGAATCTTAGTATCCATGAGCATGGGATGTTTTTCCATTTGTTTGTGGCACCTCTGATTTCTTTCAGCAGTTTTTTGTAATTCTCATTGTAGAGATGTTTTACGTTCTTGGTTAGCAGAATTTCTAGGTATTTTATTCTTCTTGTGGCAGTTGTGAATGGGATGGCATTCCTGATTTAGCCCTCAGATTGAATGTTGTTGATGTATGGGAATGCTAAATTTTTGTACATTGCTTTTGTATCCTGAAACTTTTCTGAAGTTGTTTATCAGATCAAGGAGCTTTTGGACCAAGACTATGGGGTTTTCTCATACGGATTCATGTCTTTTGCAACCAGGAATAGTATAACTTCCTCTCTTCTTATTTGGATGCCTTTCATTTCTTTCTCTTGCCTGATTGCTCTGGCCAGGACTTCCAGTACTATGTTGAATAGGTGTGGTGAGAGAGGGCATCCATGTCTTATGCCGGTTTTCAAGGGGAATGCTTCCAGCTTTTTCCATTCAGTATGATGTTGGCTGTGGGTTTTTTATAGATTGCTTTTATTATTTTGAAGTATATTCCTTCAATGCCTAGTTTATTGAGGGTTTTTAACATGAAGGGATGTTGAATTTTATTGAAAGCCTTCTCTGCATGTATTGAGATAATTATGTGGTTTTTGTTTTCATTTCTGTTTATGTGATGAATCACATGTATTGATTTGCATATGTTGAACCAACCTTTCCTCTCAGGGATAAAGCCTACTTGATCATGGTAGGCTTTATCCCTGGGACGCAAGGGGTCATGGTAGGCTTTTTCTCTGCGATGCAAATGCTCACACCCTAATCTGTGGAGCCTGTGATTATATGTTACTTTACATGGCAAAAGGACTTTTATAGATGTGATTAAATTCAGAATCTTGAGATGGGGATATTATCCTGGATTAGGCAGGTAGGCTAATATAATCACCTGTGTCCATATAAGAGGGAGGCTGGAGGTCAGAGAAAAGATACTCTGCTGCTGACTTTAAAGATAGAAGAATGGGCCATGAGCCAAGGAATATAGGTCACCTCTAGAAGATAGAAAACGTGAGGAAATAGCTATTTCAACAAAAAGCTAAGAAATTGGGTTTTTATATGCTGTTGGATTTGGTTTGCTAGTATTTTGTTGAGGAGAATCAAGGTAATTTGAAAGATCTTCAAATTTCAAGGATTTACACTCCTGCCAAATGACTCCCCAAACCCATAGCCAGTCACTGTTCTTCACCATTGCCCCACTCTCAAGCACAATACAAAAACTTTCCATTTCCTGAGAGGGTAAAGAAATGTGGTGTTATAACAAAATAAATATTTGCCAACAATATTACCATCTCTTGGTGTTATCTACTCCATGCATTTCTAGTGAATTGTTCATTAGGAAACCCCATTGCTTTATTCAAAGTTTTTGTCATTTGACCTAAGATAAACAAAGTTATCTGTTCCTCCCAAAGAAAAGTGTCAGATATGTCAAGTTCATCTGAGTTTGCCAACAGTAAGAAAATATTTTAAGAAGTATGGAGACATATAAAAAAGACATATAAGCCACCCAGAAGGGATCCTCTCTAGCCAAAACACTGACCATTTCAGCATCAAAATAATGATAGAATGAAATAAGAATGCATAAGACCATATTAAGATATATGGATAGACACATAGATAAATAATACCTGATACACACACGTACACACACACACACACACACACACACACACACAGGAACAAAGGAAAGCTATTCCTTCATATAGAATGCCAACTCTATTAGTTTTCCATTGTTGCTAAAACAAATTACTACAAATTTGGTGTTTAAAATAACAAAAATATCTTATATATCTGGAGAAAGAAAGACTAAATTGGATCTACAGGGCTGCACATCTTCCGCAGGCTCTAGGACAGAACATGTTTCCTCAACTACTCCAGCTTCTAGAAGCAACCTGTATTCCGTGGCTCATGGCCCATTCCTCTATCTTTAAAGTCAGCAGCAGAATATCTTCTCTCTGACTAAGAATGTGGCAGGAAAGAACTTACATGCCCTCTCTCTTATATGGATATGTGTGATTATGTCAGCCCTCCTGGCTAATACAGGATAATAATCCCAACTCAAGGTTGAGAATTTAATCACATCTATAAAAACCCTTTTGCAGGCTGAAAATTCCAAAATCCAGAATGCCTCTTCTCCTCCAAAGGATCACAACTCCTCACGAGCAAGGGAACAAAACTGGATGGGGAATGAGTTTGACGAATTGACACAAGTAGGCTTCAGAAGGTGGGTAATAACAAACTCCTCCAAGCTAAAGGAGCATGTTTTAACCCAATGCAAGGAAGCTAAGAACCTTGAAGAAAAGATAGAAGACTTCCTAACTAAATTAATCAGTTTAGAGAAGAACATAAATGACCTGATGGAGCTGAAAAACAGCACGAGAACTTTGTGAAGCATACAAAGGTATCAATAGCCGAATTGATTAAGCAGAAGAAAGGATATCAGAGATTGAAATTCAACTTAATGAAATAAAGCGTGAAGACAAAATTAGAGAAAAAAGAATGAAAATGAATGAACAAAGCCTCCAAGAAATATGGGACTATGTGAAAAGACCAAACCTACGTTTGATTGGTGTACCTGAAAGTGATGGGGAGAATGGAACCAAGCTTGAAAACACTCTTCAGGATATAATCCAGGAGAATTTCCCCAACCTAGCAAGACAGGTCAACATTCAAATTCAGGAAATGCAGAGAAAAATACTAAGATATTCCTCAAGAACAGCAACCCCAAGACACATAATCATAATATTCACCAAGGTTGAAATGAAAGAAAAAAATGTTAAGGGCAGCCAGAGAGAAAGGTCACGTTACCCACAAAGGGAAGCCCATCAGACTAACAGCAGGTCTCTCAGCAAAAACCCTACAAGCGAGGGGAGAGTGAGAACGAATATTCAAAATTCTTAAAGAAAAGAATTTTCAACCCAGAATTTCATATCCAGCCAAACTAAGCTTCATAAGTGAAGGAGAAACAAAATCCTTTACAGACAAGCAAATGCTGAGAGATTTCGTCACCACCAGTCCTGCCTTACGGGAGTTCCTGAAGGAAGTACTAAATATGGAAAAGAAAAATCAGTACCAGCCACTGCAAAAACATACCAAAGAATCAATATCATGAAAATGGCCATACTGCCCAAAGTAATTTATAGATTCAGTGCTATCCCAATCAAGCTACCACTGACTTTCTTCACAGAATTAGAAAAAAACTACTTTAAATATCACATGGAACCAAAACAGAGCCCGTATAACCAAGACAATCCTAAGCAAGAAGGAGAAAGTTGGAGGCATCATGCTACCTGACTTTAAACTATACTACAAGAATACAGTAACCAAAACAGCATGGTATGTGTACCAAAACGGATATATAGACCAATGGAACAGGACAGAGGCCTCTGAAATAATGCCACACGTCTACAACCACCTGATCTTTGACAAACCAGACAAAAACAAGCAATGGGGAAAGGATTCCTTATTTAATAAATGGTGTTAGGAAAACTGGCTAGCCATATGCAGAAAACTGAAACTGGACCCCTTCCTTACACCTTACACAAAAATTAACTCAAGACAGATGAAAGACTTAAACGTAAGACCTAAAACCATAAAAACCCTAGAAGAAAACCTAGGCAATACCATTCAGGATATAGGCATGGGCAAAGACTTCATGACTAAAACACCAAAAGCAATGGCAAGAAAAGACAAAATTGACAAATGGGATCTAATTAAACTAAAGAGCTTCTGCACAGCAAAAGAAACCTTCTGGACAAGCAGCCTACAGAATGGGAGAAAATTTTTGCAATCTATCCATCTGGCAAAGGGCTAATATCCAGAGTCTACAAAGAATTTAAACAAATTTACAAGAAAAAACAACCCCATCAAAAAGTGGGCGAAGGATATGAACAGACAGTTCTCTAAAAAAGACATTGATGCAGCCAACAAACATATGAAAAAAAGCTCATTATCTCTGGTCATTAGAGAAATGTAAATCAAAACCACAATGAGATACCATCTCACACCAGTTAGAATGGTGATCATTAAAAAGTCAGGAAACAACAGATGCTGGAGAGGATGTGGAGAAATAGGAATGCTTTTACACTGTTGGTGAGAATGTAAATTAGTTCATCCATTGTGGAAGACAGTGGGGCAATTCCTCAAGGATCTAGAACCAGCAATACCATTTGACTCAGCAATCCCATTACTAGGTATATACCCAAAGGATTATAAATCATTCTACTATAAAGACACATGCACATGTATGTTTATTGCAGCACCATTCATAATAGCAAAGACTTGGAACCAACCCAAATGCCCATCAATGATAGACTGGAATAAGAAAATGTAGCACATATACACCATGGAATACTATGCAGCCATAAAAAAGAACGAGTTTATGTCCTTTGTAGGGACATGGATGAAACTGGAAACCATCATTCTCAGCAAACTAAAACAGGAACAGAAAACCAAACACTGCATGTTCTCACTCATAAGTGGGAGTTGAACAGTGAGAACACATGGACACAGGGATGGGAACATCACACAGTAGGGTCTGTTAGAAGGTGGGAGGGCTAGGGAGAGATAGCATTAGGAGAAATACCTAATGTAGATGATGAGTTGATGGGTGCAGCAAACCAGCATGGCACATGTATGCCTATGTAACAAACCTGCACATTCCGCACATGTCTTCCAGGACTTAAAATATAAAAAATAAAATTAATTTTGCCACGTAAGGTAATATATAATAACTTATCCCAGTGATTAGGTTGTGATCATTTGAGAGAAGGAGAGGAAGTATTTAGCCTGCCACACAAATTATTAAATTTGGAAGGAATGATGGAACTTTAAGAATCATTACTTGGAAACCACTATAGTAATAATTGTTTCTGGGAAGGAATATTAAGGGATGCTTACTAATAAAACTAGTGGATGAAAGCTAGTTAAAAAACAGAATGCTACCTAATCTCAACATACTTCCCCACATGACACTTATATATTACTGAGAAAAACACTAATTTTTATAGTAAAGATGCCTGGCAGATACAACATTAACCAAGTAATCAAAGCCAATATTGCCCATAACAGAATAAAGAAATATGTACATACTGATAGGATGCACTAAGGAGAACACAATCACACTTTTGTGGTATTCCTGACAGAAGTTTACAGGGAAAAAGAAGCTGATGCTTCAGTGCAGTTAGTCATCATTCCTATCTGGGAAAAAGCTGGCTTCACTGTTAGTTCTACAGTAAAATTGCTTGCCGCATAAATTCATTTCTGCTTTGGAAATCCCAGTTCACAAACGTTGACATGAGGTTTAGGCCTGACAAGGGGAGCATCTCAGGGCTTCTACTTTGCCTTCAGTGTTGTTGACATAGGAACAGGTCGTCAGAGCTAAAAATGTATTGTCCTTACCCTGATTTTTTCATATACAAGTTGCCAGAGCTTATGCAAGCACCTATCTCCTCCCTTCAGTTTGATAAAGTGAGAGAACTCATTCTTGTTGTTCTGCTGCATAAAGTTTGCTTGACTGGTTTGAAAAGTACAAAACAATAAAAACAATAATATCTGTGTTACACTTTGGGGGAATTATTAGTAACTGATCACTTTCAGATTACAAATTAAATAGCACAGGTTAATATGACTAGGATTCAATATTAGATATCCTATAATTATAACCTTGCCAAGACCACCTCGATCATGGAGATGCTAACCCAGCGGCACTAGAGGAATTAAAGACACACACACAGAAATATAGAGTATGGAGTGGGAAATCAGGGCACTCACAGCCTTCAGAGCTGAGAGCCCTGAACAGAGTTTGACCCACATATTGATTGACACGAAGCCAGTGATAAGCATTATTTCTATAGATTATAGATTAACTAAAAGTATTCCTTAAGGGAAACAAAGGGATGGGCCGAAACAAAGGGATGGGCTCTGTCTAGTTATCTGCAGCAGAAACATGTCCTTAAGGCACAGATCACTCATGCTATTGTTTGTGATTTAGGAATGCCTTTAAGCGGTTTTCTGCCCTGGGTGGGCCAGGTGTTCCTTGCCCTCATTCTGGTAAACCCACAACCTTCAGCATGGGCATCATGGCCATCACAAACATGTCACAGGGCTGCAGAGATTTTGTTTATGGCCAGTTTTGGGGCCAGTTTATGGCCAGATTTGGGGGCCTGTTCCCAACATAACCTCCCAAAAGAAAACAAAAAGTCTACACATATAAAAGAAAATGTATATATTTTGTAAGAGAAGAAGGAGAAAAGAGCCCAGAAAATTAAAAAGCCAAAAAAAATTTAAAGAGTGAGAAGTGATATCAATAAAACGGCAAAATAGGACTTTCCAGTGCCAGTTGGCCCCCTAGGTCAGACTCTGTAGTCCCAAGATCCATGCCAGTACCCAAGGGCCTAGCCTCCAGACCAGCACATATAAGCTGGGCCCCATAAACCCAGGCTCCAGACAAGCCCCTAAGGCAGCAAGTTCCACTCTAGAACCAGGCCAGTTCCAGGCTTCAGGTTGATCCCCACCACTCTAGGTTCCACTGGACCTAAAGTTCAGGCCCACACCAGTAGCTATCACCTCATACCTCACACCAGTTAGATCTATTATGAAAAACACAAAGGACAACAGGTGGTGGGAAGAATATGGAGAAAAGAGAATTCTTATACATTGTTACATTGTTTTTTGAAATGTAAATTAGGACAGCCATGAGGGAAAACACTATGAAGTTTCCTAAATAAATTTAAAATAGGGCCAGGCGCAGTGGCTTATGCCTGTAATTCCAACACTTTGGGAGGCCGAGGTCGGCAGATCACCTGAGGTCAGGAGTTTGAGACCAGCCTGGCCAACATGGTGAAATCCCATCTCTACCAGAAACAAGCAATGGGGAAAGGATTCTCTGTTTAACAAATGGTGGTGGGAAAACTGGCTAGCCATATGCAGAAAACTGATACTGGACCCCTTCCTTATACCTTAGGCAAAAATTAACTCAAGATAGCTTAAAGACTTAAATGTAGAACCCAAAACCATATAAACCCTAGAAAAGAACCTAGGCAATACCATTCAGGATATAGGCATGGGCAAAGACTTCATGACTAAAACACCAAAAGCAACGGCAACAAAAGACAAAATTGACAAATGGGATCTAATTAAACTGAAGAGCTGCTGCACAGCAAAAGAAACTACCATCAGAGTGAACAGGCAACCTACAGAATGGGACAAAATTTTTGCAATCTATGCATCTGACAAAAGTCTAATATCCAGAATATATGAGGAACTTAAACAAATTTATGAAAATAAAACAAACAACCCCATCAAAAAGTGAGCAAAGGATATAAATAGAAACTTCTCAAAAGAAGGCATTTATGGAGCCAACAAACACATGAAAAATAGCTCGTCATCACTGGTCATTCGAGAAATGCAAATCAAAACCACGAGATACCATCTCACACTAGTTAGAATGGCAATTATTAAAATGTCAGGAGACAACAGATGCTGGCGAGTCTGTGGAGAAATAGGAATGCTTTTACACTGTTGGTGGGAGAGTAAATTAGTTCATCCATTGTGGAAGACAGTGTGGCGATTCCTCAAGGATCTAGAACCAGCAATACCATTTGACCCAGCAATCCCATGAGTGCGTATATATCCAAAGGATTATAAATCATTCTACTATAAAGACACATGCACATGTATGTTTATTGCAGCACCATTTACAATAGGAAAGACTTGGAACCAACCCAAATGCCCATCAATAATAGACTGGATGAAGAAAATGTGGCACATATACACCATGGAATACTATGCAGCCATAAAAAAGAATGAGTTCATGTCCTTTGCAGGGACATGGATGAAGCTGGAAACCATTATTTTCAGCAAAATAACACAGGAACAGAAAACTAAACACTGCATGTTCTCACTCATAAGCGGTAGTTAAACAATGAGAACACATGGACACAGGGAGGGCAACATCACACACTGGGGCCTGTCACGGGTTCAGGGGGAAGGAGAGGGAGAGCATTAGGACAAATATCTAATGCATGTGGGGCTTAAAACCTAGATGACAGGTTGATAGGTGCAGCAAACCACTATGGCACATGTATACCTATGTAACAAATTTGCACATTCTGCACATGTATCCGAGAACTTAAAGTAAAATAAACATAAAAATAATGAAAAATAAAAGATTTCATAAGAACTTATACGAGAAACTACATCGGCCTTAGGGTAATTAAAGATTTGCTAGGACACACACACACACACACACACACACACACACACACACACACAAGAAATCCTGTCTCTACTAAAAATACAGAAATTAGCTGGGCGTGGTGGTGCTTACCTGTAGTCCCAGCTACTCTGGAGGCTGAGGCAAGACAATCGCTAGAACCCAGGAGGTGGGAGTTGCAGTAAGCCGAGATCCCACCACTGCACTCCAGCCTGGGCGACAGAGCGAGACTCTGTCTCAAAAAATTAATTAATTAATTAATTAATAATAAATAAAAATAGAACTGCCATATGATCCATCAATCACACTTCTGGGTTTATATCCAAAAGAATTAAATCACTATGTTGAAGAGCTATCTCCACTTCCATGAATATGGCAGCAAATTCATAATAGCCAAAGTATTGAATCAATCTAAGAGTCAATCAATGAATGAGTGAATTTAAAAAGTGTAGTTTATATACAATAGAATACTATTCTGCCTTAAAATAAGAAGGAAGTCCTAATATTTTCAAACACATGGCAAACCTGAGGACACTTTGCTAAGTAAAATGAGCCAGGCACAGAAAAATAAATACTGCACGATCTAATGTGTGAAATCTACATAAAATGAACTCATAGAAGCACAAAGTAGTAGAATGAGGCTTGTCAGGGGTTAGCAGTGGAGGGAGGGAAAATGGGGAGATGCTGGTCAAAGGGTACAAAGTTTCAGTTAGAAGGAATAAATTCAAGAGATCTATTCTATAGTATGGTGACTATAGTTAATAAAACTGTACTGCATACTTGAAAATTGCTAAGATAACAGATCCTAAATGTTCTCACCACAAAACAGGTAAGTATGTGAGTTAATGATTTGTTAATTAGCTTGAATAATAATTGCATAATTATACATATATCAAAACTTTATGCTGTATATCATAAATAAATACAACTTTTCACTTAATAAAGATGGAGAGGATATTTGAGTAGGTGAGAAACCAGGATGCTACAGGAAGTGTTACAAATCGTAAGATTTCCATAGTAGGAAATAGTTCAAAGAGCTAAGCTATGTTCTTTAAGTTTTAAAAAATTTGTTTTTATGTGATGTTTTACCCTAAGTGGTCTCAATTGTTTACTAAAAGTTATTTTACATACACTATTCTTGGTTCTTCATTTCTTGGGTAAGCTTAAGGACAAGGGCAAATGACTCATATTTTTCATGCCTAGTTAGAAATAAAGGAAGAGTCACAGATGCAGAAAGAAGATAAAGTCAGCAGAATCAATGCAATTGCAAGTCACACTAGAAATTGGAGGGAAGTTCCGAGATGCATTTTTATTTTTATAATTTAGGAAATAGTGTGTGAATCAATCACATCCAAATCTCACAGGCCTCAAAAGCTACAGCTGACATTCCAGTTATAGAGAAAACTCAGGCATTGCAAGTACGTTACATTATACTGAATTCTCCTTTAGTCATTTTTCCACATCATTTGACTACGACTGTCAGTTTAAATTGCTCTAGGTATAACGCAATTATTTCAGATGAAGATGGTTGACAATAATATATAGAACAAAATGATAACTTCTATAAAATATATTTATTTGAAACCATATATTGATATTCCTAATATACTTATTAACTATAAATATTCAAATTAGAACAAGCTTAAAAATAAAAATAAACTAACATTTTCCATATAACAGCTTTTATCATAAAAATTTTCCAGTATATTTAAACATAATTCTTTTATACACCCATTGACTTCAAGTCATTTTCAGAGCCTCTCTATTTGCCTCAAATGTTCTCCATAGCTCTTTAGGTAATGCAGTTGCTCCAAGCACTTACCTCACCTAAGTATACCTAGACGGTGATGACCATTTCTTTATAAGCTACATAGGTCAGCTTTACCAGCTCCTTTCACCTCCAATATCCTTCTCACTGCCTTGTAAAAAAGAGGGATCTTGGACGCCGACTTCTGCTACACTGCTTCAACATCTCTCTTGCTACAATTTATAAAACTTATTGTCTTACTATTGATATTGGATATCAAAGAATATGGACCAAAATTCCTCTCAAAATTTACATCCAACAAAAAATAAGTAGTGTTGGAGGAAAGGATTTGAAGTATTTTGCTGTGTATTCAACTAAACTAAAGATAGAAGACAAAAGTATTCTGCCTAAACAGCAAAAAATTAAAAGACATATTCTAGATATTTTAAAATTGAGAGTATCATCTTTTCATAGGAATTATAACTTCACTTTTATCAATATTTACAACAAATTTCATGCCTTATTTTTAATCAGGAAAAGTCTTTCTTGTATTCATTAGGTTTGTGCCATGGAAAAACATCACTATAGATGTTTTATCTTGATTTTACACAGCTGTTTTCTCCAAAAGTGAATGGTATTTAAGCTGAATGTGTTTTATTCCTACCTGTTACCAGGATCTCCACGACTTTGTTAGAGTACATGCTCAGCAAGTGCTAACAGAGTGAGTGAATAAAAGAATGGTTGATAAATGAACAGATGGATGAATCATTGTGAGGAAAGACTCCATTATATTGTTAATATCACACAAACACAGGCTCACTCCCACCCCCTTAGTCTCTTCACTACCCCTCTTACATCTTTGTTTCTGAGGGTGTAGATTAGAGGGTTAAGACTAGGTGTAACAACAGTATAAAAGAGAGCAATGAACTTGCCTTGATCTTGAGAATTCCCTGATGGTGGCTGGAGATACATGCACATGGCCGGAATGAAAAAGAGAGATACAACCATATGATGAGCTCCACATGTTCCAAATACTTTCTGAAGCCCAGTGGTTGACTGCATCCTCAGTACAGCCTGGGCAATAGCACCATAGGAAGTGAAAATGAGGGTGAGAAGTAGCAGAACAAAAATGGAGCTTGTGATCATGAGGGTCAGTTTATTTTCACGGGTATTGACAAATGATAATCATAAAAGTGCCGGAACTTCACAGAAAAAGTGATCTATTTGGCGGTGTCCACACAGAGGTACCCAGAAGGTGAAGGAGGAATGAAGTGCTGGGTTTGTAAAACCACTTACCCAAGAAGCCACAGCCAACAAGTGGCAGAAACGAGAGTGCATGAGGACAGTGTAATGCAAAGGTCTACACACAGCTGCATAACGGTCATAGGACATCACCACCAGTAGGACACACTCTGTGGTTCCCAGTGTGAGAAAAAAGTAAAGTTGAACCATGCAACCAGCATAAGAAATGGTCTTTTCCACACCCCAGAGACTGACCAGCAACTGAGGGATAGAGCTGGTGGTGTAGCAGAGATCCAGAAATGAGAGATTTGAAAGGAAGAAATACAAGGGAGTATGGAGATGGGAGTCCAGGTACGTCAGGATGATGATGAACAGGTTTCCTATCAGTGTCATCAAGCAGAAGATCAAAATAACCACAAAGAGAACTACTTCCAGATAAGGCCAATTAGAAAATCCAACTAAAATAAAGTACCCCTCAGAGCTAGCATTGACTTTTCCATCATCATTCATTTCCTATTACCTGAGAGAAAAAAAAAATCAGGTAAACTCAAAAAGCAGTAAACAAATGCTCCAAAAAACATCAGGATACGTAAAAAAAATAAAATCCAGTTTGAAGGGCTTGCCATCATTTAATTGTAGGACAATTTAACCATTAGTAGTAATGAACTTAACAAAAGAAGAATTATAAAGCTCGTACTGATATAAAAAGTAAGAGTAAATAAATGAATGGTGAAGAAAAAGCCATTCCTAACAGTAGATCCCTAATTAATAAACATAGAAGGGATGATGGTGTTAAGAAAAACATAAATGATTGCAAAACTAGTGGATAAAAATTTGATGGGGAACAGGACATGTACATAGTCTAAAATATCTCCTCACAACTTTCTTGTTAATTTCAAACTGAAAAACAGTGAAGTTTACAGTAGAAAAACCTGGCAGACACCAACATAACCAAGTGATTTTATTGATCTTAAGATCACCTGTATTTGTACAAACCAACATCATGAGACTGCTGAGATGCTGCTCTGAACAGGGCATGATGTCACCTCAGTGATATTTATGTTAAAAATACACAGACTAATTCTAATAATGAAGACACATGAGAAAAACTCTAATTGAGAGAAATAGTTTGCCTGTACAATTCAAAAGTATCAAGTTTAAGTAGACAAACAAAGGCGGTGGCACTGGTCCAGATGGAAGGAGACTAGTGAGATGTGATTTCTCAGTGTATCATCTGGGATTTTTTTAAAAAGTGGCTATTAACAAAATTATTGGGACTATTTAAGAAATCTCACTGTGGACTATGGATTAGATAATAATATTGTGCCCATATTAAATTTGCTGATTTGGGTACTGTGCAGGACTTATGTAAAATAACATCCTTCTTCTTAGACAAGAAACATTGAATAAAATATTTGGTGTAAATGTCTTGAATGGGCTAAATGCTCCAATTAAAAGACACAGACTGGCAAATTGGATAAAGGGTCAAGACCCATCAGTGTGCTGTATTCAGGAAACCCATCTCACATGCAGAGACACACATAGGTTCAAGATAAAGGGATGGAGGAAGATCTACCAAGCAAATGGAAAACAAAAAAAGGGAGGGGTTGCAATCCTAGTCTCTGATAAAATAGACTTTAAACCAACAAAGATCAAAAGAGACAAAGAAGGCCATTACATAATGGTAAAGGGATCAATTCAACAAGAAGAGCTAACTATCCTAAATATACATGCACCCAATACAAGAGCACCCAGATTCATACAACAAGTCCTTAGAGACCTACAAAGAGACTTAGACTCCCACACAATAATAATGGGAGACTTTAACACCCCACTGTCAACAATAGACAGATCAACAAGACAGAAAGTTAACAAGGATATCCAGGAATTGAACTCAGCTCTGCACCAAGCGGTCCTAATAGACATCTACAGAACTCTCCACCCCAAATCAACAGAATATACATTCTTCTCAGTACCACATCACACTTATTCCAAAATTGACCACATAGCTGGAAGAAAAGCACTCCTCAGCAAATGTAAAAGAACAGAAATTATAACAAACTGTCTCTCAGACCACAGTGCCATCAAACTACAACTCAGGATTAAGAAACTCACTCAAAACCACTCAACTACATGGAAACTGAACAACCTGCTCCTGAATGACTACTGGTACATAACGAAATGAAGGCAGAAATAAAGATGTTCTTTGAAACCAGCGAGAACAAAGATACAACATACCAGAATCTCTGGGACACATTTAAAGCAGTGTGTAGAGGGAAATTTATAACACTGAATGTCCACAAGAGAAAGCAGGAAAGATCTAAAACTGACACCCTAACATCATAATTAAAAGAACTAGAGAAGTAAGAGCAAACACATTCAAAAGCTAGCAGAAGGCAAGAAATAACTAAGATCAGAGCAGAACTGAAGGAGATAGACACACAAAAAACCATTCAAAAAATCAATGAATCCAGGAGCTGGTTTTTTGAAAGATCAACAAAATTGATAGACTGCTAGCAAGACTAATAAAGAAGAAAAGAGAGAAGAATCAAATAGACACAACAAAAAATGATAAAGGGGATATCACCACCGATCCCACAGAAACACAAACTACCATCAGAGAATACTATAAACACCTCTATGCAAATAAACTAGAAAATCTAGAAGAAATGGATAAATTCCTCGACACATACACCCTCCCAAGACTAAACCAGGAAGAAGTTGAATCTCTGAATAGACCAAATAACAGGCTCTGAAATTGAGGCAATAATTAGTAGCTTACCAACCAAAAAAAAGTCCAGGACCAGACGGATTCACAGCCGAATTCTACCAGAGGTACAAGGAGGAGCTGGTACCATTCCTTCTGAAACTACTCCAATCAATAGAAAAAGAGGGAATCCTCCCTAACTCATTTTATGAGGCCAGCATCATCCTGATACCAAAGCCTGGCAGAGACACAACAAAAAAAGAATTTTAGACCAACATCCCTGATGAACCTCGATGCAAAAATCCTCAATAAAATACTGGCAAACCGAATCCAGCAGCACATCAAAAAGCTTATTCACCATGATCAAGTGGGCTTCATCCCTGGGATGCAAGCCTGGTTCAACGTACGCAAATCAATAAACATAATCCAGCAGAACAAAAGACAAAAACCACATGATTATCTCAATAGATGCAGAAAAGGGCTTTGACAAAATTCAACAGCCCTTCATGCTAAAAACTCTCAATAAACTAGGTATTGATGGAACGTATCTCAAAATAATAAGAGCTATTTATGACAAAACCACAGCCAATATCATACTGAATGGGCAAAAACTGGAAGCATTCCCTTTGATAACTGGCACAAGACAGGGATGCCCTCTCTCACCACTCCTATTCAACATAGTGTTGGAAGTTCTGGCCAGGGCAATCAGGCAGGAGAAAGAAATAAAGGGTATTCAATTAGGAAAAGAGGAAGTCAAATTGTCCCTGTTTGCAGATGACATGATTGTATATCTAGAAAACCCCATCATCTCAGCCCAAAATCTCCTTAAGTTGATAAGCAACTTCAGCAAAGGCTCAGGATACAAAATCAATGTGCGAAAATCACAAACATTCTTATACACCAATAACAGGCAAACAGAGAGCCAAATCATGAGTGAACTCCCATTCACAATTGCTTCAAAGAGAATCAAATACCTAGGAATCCAACTTACAAGGGATGTGAAGGACCTCTTCAAGGAGAACTACAAACCACTGCTCAATGAAATAAAAGAGGATACAAACAAATGGAAGAACATTCCATGCTCATGGATAGGAAGAATCAATATCGCGAAAATGGCCATACTGCCCAAGGTAATTTATAGATTCGGTGCGATCCCCATCAAGCTACCAATGACTTTCTTCACAGAATTGGAAAAAACTGCTTTAAAGTTCATATGGAACCAAAAAAGAGCCCGCATTGCCAAGCCAATCCTAACCCAAAAGAACAAAGCTGGAGGCATCACGCTACCTGACTTCAAACTATACTACAAGGCTACAGTAACCAAAACAGCATGGTACTGGTACCAAAACAGAGATATAGACCAATGGAACAGAATACAGCCCTCAGAAATAATACCACACATCTACAAGTATCTGATCTTTGACAAACCTGAAAAAAACAAGAAATGGGGAAAGGATTCCCTATTTAACAAATGCTGCTGGGAAAACTGGCTAGCTATATGTAGAAAGCCGAAACTGGATCCCTTCCTTACACCTTATACAAAAATTAATTCAAGATGGATTAAAGACTTCAATGTTAGACCTAAAACCATAAAAACCCTAGAACAAAACCTAGTCAATACCATTCAGGACATAGGCATGGGCAAGGACTTCATGTCTAAAACACCAAAAGCAATGGCAACAAAAGCCAAAATTGACAAATGGGATCTAATTAAACTAAAGAGTTTCTGCACAGCAAAAGAAACTACCATCAGAGTGAATAGGCAACCTACAGAATGGGAGAAAATTTTTGCAAGCTACTCATCTGACAAAGGGCTAATATCCAGAATCTACAATGAACTCAAACAAATTTACAAGAAAAGAACAAACAGCCCCATCAAAAAGTGGACGAAGGACATGAACAGACACTTCTCAAAAGAAGACATTTATGCAGCCAAAAAACACATGAAAAGATGCTCACCATCACTGGCCATCAGAGAAATGCAAATCAAAACCACAATGAGATACCACCTCACACCAGTTAGAATGGCAATCATTAAAAAGTCAGGAAACAACAGGTGCTGGACAGGATGTGGAGAAATAGGAACACTTTTACACTGTTGGTGGGACTGTAAACTAGTTCAACCATTGTGGAAGTCAGTGTGGTGATTCCTCAGGGATCTAGAACTAGAAATACCATTTGACCCAGCCATCCCATTACTGGGTATATACCCAAAGGATTATAAATCATGCTGCTAGAAAGACACATGCACACGTATGTTTATTACGGCACTATTCACAACAGCAAAGACTTGGAACCAACCCAAATGTCCAACAATGATAGAGTGGATTAAGAAAATGTGGCACATATACACCATGGAATACTATGCAGCCATAAAAAATGATGAGTTCATGTCCATGTAGGGACATGGATGAAGCTGGAAACCATCATTCTCAGCAAACTATCCCAAGGACAAAAAACCAAACACCGCATGTTCTCACTCATGAGTGGGAATTGAGCAATGAGAACATTTGGACACAGGAAGGGGAACATCACACACCGGGGCCTGTTGTGTGGTGGGGGGAGGGATAGCATGAGGAGATATACCTAATGTAAATGACGAGTTAATGGGTGCAGCACAGCAACATGGCACATGTATACATATGTAATAAACCTGCAGGTTGTGCACAAGTACCGTAGAACTTAAAGTATAATAATAATAATTATAATAAAAGAACATTATAGCATTAAGAAAAGGAAGAAACCACAATGTTAATGAACAATAGATAGTATTAACCACGCACACATTTTTAGACTTTTAACATCACAAA
The DNA here is from genome assembly GCF_000001405.40 of Homo sapiens. Lineage (NCBI taxonomy): Eukaryota > Metazoa > Chordata > Mammalia > Primates > Hominidae > Homo > Homo sapiens. Next base: position 442,077 of record NT_167246.2, on the reverse strand, counting down.
TTGTAACAAACCAAAATAAGAGGCAATGAACTAAGAAAATACATATGAATTTGTATAACCTTGGAACACAAAAGTTTATACAACTTAATATGAAACTGAAACTCCAATACAGTTATGTACATAGAATGCAGACAAATAATTAACACAAAATAGAAAATTTAAAAGGAATAAAAATGACCTAATAATTAAAAAAAAAAGTACTTGGTGTAAAGGTACGTGGCATCTCCAACTTACTCTCAGCTAGTGCAGAAAAAGAGATAGATGATAGATAGATAGATAGATAGATAGATAGATAGATAGATAGATAGATATAATAGATGATAGAGATATAGATAGATAGATAGATAGATAGATAGATAGATAGATGATATAACAAAGCTTTGGGGGAAAATGTAAACTAATGCTTAATCTGGTTATAGGGTAAATGTCAGTCTTTGTACTACTTTTTTGCAATTCTTCTCTAAGTTTGAAATTTTACCATAATAAAAAGTCACAAAAAATAGAAAACAATTTTTTAATTTTATATTTTATTCATATATTTGCCTTATAGAAGAATAACTATCGAGTTCTTCCCATTCATTTTATGGTGACTTCTAGGTAAATGGTAATTGAAAGAAATTTCTAACCTAGCTAAGGAAGATAATTTCCATAAAACACAAAATTTTTCTTTGTTAATGAATAAGGAACTTTTCTTTTCAGCATTTTCAGGTTATTTTCAAAAATGTGATTATAGAAAACATAACAATTGCAATCCCAATAATTTTACATACGGATGAAATAATATGTTGAAAATATTGAATTTAGTAGTGATTTCAAAATGTTCATGTAAAGTGAAAAAAAAGTTTAGCTTCAATGGGACTACAGGCATGTGCCACCATGCCTAGCTAATTGTTTTGTATTTTTAGTAGAGATGGGGTTTCACCTTGTTAGCCAGGATGGTCTTGGTCTCCTGACCTCATGATCCACCTGACTCGGCCTTCCAAAGTGCTGGGATTACAGGTGTGAGCCACCGTGCTCGGCCTTGTTTTTGATTTTTAAAAAGTGAAAGATTTATACAATCTGAAGAGTAATCAGAGTTTATTGTTTCTGACTTTTAAAAGCTGTCTTAATGTATTAGCATTACCCCCAGTGACAAATTAAGCCATGCACAGATACTTCATCTTTTATGTTGCCATTTTTCCTGACAGAGAGTGTGTTCTGTTCAGACAGAGTATGTTATATTTATACACGTTACCAAGAATTTCACAAACTGGAAGAGAGTACACATTCAATAAGATTTAGCTAATAAAGAATAAGTTAATGAATAAATGGACAGATGAACGAAAGAGCCATTTTAAAGAGATATTAGTTTACTGTTCAATGTGACAAGTATGTAGACCTACAGGATAAATTAGATAATTTAGTGTCTTTAAAAAGTGTCTTTCAACCAAATACTTATGATATATCCTTTACCATATCTTAAACAATGTTATTCATTATGTTTACCATTTTTCTTTGCTGTGACTATTTTTAGCTTCATTTAAGGTTTATTCAATAACCAAAAACCTTTTTAGCCTAAGTCTTTGCAATATTGCCCTTCTCTTTCTGTATATATCATCAGTTCATAATTTAGCACATTGTTAGAAATATTCCCAACATTTTTGAAATAATCTCCTCATAACTATTCGCATGCACATTTATTTACGTTGAAACCACAGTCCACAATTTTCACAGAAATAAAATATACAATTGTAAAAGAACAAAGTGGCACTAATCAGAAACTTTATCTCAACATAATATTTCAGAACTAAATAATAAAAAGAGCAACAAATGTGATACTGAACTATTCTGTTTTGTGAGCTGTTAGAACAAAAATAAATCACAAAGAAGCAGGGAAACCACCTTTCAAGATGGCTAAGACCCTAGGAAAAACAATGACAACAGACAACATGATTTCCCTGTCACTTCCCCCACTCCCACCCCAATAGTCTCTTCGCTGCCCCTTTTACATGCTTGTTTCTGAGAGTGTAGATTAGAGGATTAAGACTCGGTGTGACAACAGTATAAAAGAGGGCAATGAACTTGCCCTGATCAGGAGAATTTTCTGATGGTGGCTGGAGATACATGCACATGACTGGAATGAAAAAGAGAGATACAACCATAAGATGGGCTCCACATGTCCTAAACACTTTCTGAAGCCCAGTGGTTGATTGCATGCTCAGTACAGCCCGGGCAATGGCACCATAGGCAGTGAGAATCAGAATGAGAGGTATGAGAACAAAAATGGAGCTCATGACCATGAGGGTCAGCTCATTTGCATGGGTGTCAACACATGATAAACGCAGAAGTGCTGGAACTTCACAGAAGAAGTGATCCACTAGGCGATGTCCACAAAGGGGTACCCAGAAAGTAAAGGAGGAATGAAGTGCTGAGATAGTAAAACCAATTACCCAAGAAGCCGCAGCCAACAAGTGGCAGAAACGAGGGTGCATGAGGACAGTGTAATGCAAAGGTCTACACACAGCTACATAACGATCATACGACATCACCACCAGTAGGACACACTCTGCGATTCCCAGTGCAAGAACAAAGTAAAGTTGAACCATGCAACCAGCATACGAGATGGTCTTTTCCGGGCCCCGGAGATTCACCAGCAACTGAGGGATAGAGCTGGTGGTGTGGCAGAGATCCAGAAATGAGAGGTTTGAAAGGAAGAAGTACATTGGTGTGTGGAGATGGGAGTCCACGTATGACAGGATGATGATGAACAGGTTTCCTGTCAGTGTCATCAGGTAGAAGATCAAGATAACCACAAAGAGAACTACTTCCAGCTGAGGCCAATTAGAAAATCCAAGTAGAATAAAGAAGTCTTCCGAACTTGCATTTTTTTTAATCATCATTCATCTTTTTCTTATACCTAAAGAAAGAACCACATAAACTCAAAGTCTGTCCATGCATTGTCAACCGCTCACTTGCAAACAGATTGAAGACAAAAGTATCCCACTTCCAGAGAGTGTGCACCATAATGGTAGTAGAATTTTTATACAGTTCCCTTTATATGCTTCATTGAGATATTTATCCAGCTACAGATACAAGCAATAGCTTCTCAAGTTACTGAGTTCTTTATATACATCCCTGAATTAACATTTGGATTAATGAAGACTAAGATAGTCCATAATCAGGAACACAATATTTATGAAAAATGATTTTTTACTTTAAAAAGTCAAATTATTTTTATATTTTCAGGCTATTTCCAATTTTGCAATTACAGAGAAAGGAATAACAGCAGTCTTACTGATCTTACTTATAGATAGGAATTTCCCATATTAAAAAGCAATTAGATAGTCACTTTAAAATATTAACTGAAAAGAAATAATTGAATATGATTATAGAAAGAATCAAATGCTATTTATGCTAGCAGTTTATTTCTAGACAAATAAAATAATGCACAAATCAAAGTTTAAAGAGAATATGCACGCACACACCAACTTATAAAAATTCACAATATACACAAAGCTGATTAATACAGCAAAATAGAGTGATCGGTGATAGAATGCTTCCAAAGGTAAATGAGACTATATTACTGGAAGACATAAAGATTACAGAGTCTAACAAAAACATAGGTTGGTAAGAGAGAAATGGAGAGTGTTTGGATGCACAACAGTGAAGAGAGGTCTGAATGTGGTATGCGAAGTTGAAAGAATGTATAACAAGTTTGTTAGACAAGGACAAGAAGACTTAAACATGGTTTCTACAAAACTGTATATGCTTTAGGCCAATAACTGAACTATACTTTAAATTCTGAGTCACAATTTATAATTTGTATTTTCTGGGTTTTCCACAATTTTTAATGGAGCTTCTGAACAGACATTAACTAATATTAGTAGAAAGATACGTGAACATTGTATAAAATCCAGAAAATTCACCTTGTAGTTATTTTTTTAAAATGAAGAAATTCAAATATGCTTTGATAGCTTGATTTTCAGTTGCTTATTTTCTCTTGCACATTACCAATCTTGCATGAGAAAGATAAACACTCTTTTATGATATAGTTTTTGCAATAAAATACAGGAACCCAGCATTTCAATATTCCTAAATAGTTTTGCCATCCCCCTTCTGCTCCCCTCCTGCCACAGCCAACTCTTCCTCTTATACTCTCTGATAAATTTGGCAAAAGAGGCCAGGCGTGGTGGCTCATGCCTGTAATCTCAGCATTTTGGGAGGCCGAGGCAGGTGGAACACCTGAGGTCAGGAGTTCGAGACCAGCCTGACCAACGTGGTGAAACACCATCTCTACTAAAAAATACAAAAATTAGCCAGGCAGGCATGGTAGTGGGCACCTGTAATACCAGCTACTCTGGAGGCTGAGGCAGGAGAATCGCTTGAACCCAGGAGGCGGAGGTTGCAGTGAGCTGAGATCATGCCATTGCCCTCCAGCCTGGGTGACAGAGCAAGACTCTGTCTCAAAAAACTAATATCTACACCCGACTCACCTTCAGTGTTTTGAAAAACTTTTAATAACTCAAATATTGTAATCTTGACTCTTGAAAAAGATGTAAGGAGTTGCCTAACTGGTTGAGTTACAGCTGGAGAGCTAGGAACATTGAACTTGGGCCAAATCTGTGCAAATGCTCCAGACTGGTACAAAGATACTGTACATTTTTCCATATTGTTGGTAATGGAATGAGCATTAACCTTTTGAGAAATCATGGGAAAATTCCAAGGATTTTTTTAAATCTCCCTAAGATGAAAGGTAATATGCCATAAGATACTTGAACTCAAATGCTGTGGATACTTTTGCTGATGCCGACCTAATTTTCTTTCCTAATGCAGCTGCCTGAGTTCCTTATTACAGTAATTAAAAGGTGGAATCTGATAACTATCTGTTATATGACCCATCTTTCAGCATTCCTCCGGAGTTGATAAAAGGGATAGGAAATAAGGGACAAAAAAACCCCCAGAACTCATGTAGAGAAAAGTCTCAGCTTCAATTTTCTTCTTGGTGGAAAAGAGGGAAATGAAGACCCTATCAAATGTAGCTTTTATGAGTTGTAGAATAAAATATCTTCTCTCTTTTTTTAAATCAAATACTATAGGGAAAATGGATGGCTGAGTGTCTCTTCCTTCCCCAATTATTATTAAGAGACATTATGCCAATTTGTGTCACATCCATTCCTTTATACTATATCTGGTTTGTTTTCTTAATTTTTCATTGACTAGTAATAATTGTATATATTTATGGAGTACACTGTAATGTTTTGATGTATATATACATTATAGAATGATTATATTAAGCTAGTTAACATATCCATCACCCCACAACCATCATATTTTTGTAGTAAGAACATTTAAAATCTACACTTTCTGCAATTTTGAAATATGGAAGCTGTCTACCCCTTAAGAAGTGCACCAACTTCTTTCAGTACTGACCTTCCTGTGTTTGTCCCTGTTCCCTGTCACTCTCTACCTGGCCTACAACCTCATCAGGTATAAACTGATGAAGGGGCTCTCTGGTTGCCATACAACCTAAAAACATCAACCTAATTGCCTTCTTATAACATTTTTGCCAATGTTTTAAATCTAACTATGAAGAACAGAGTCTGGAAATAACTGTGATTGTCATTGCTACAGAAAAGAGAGCCTGAGTTTGTCCAAAAGATCTGCTTTTTAGCAGAATGTGGGAATACTTTAGGGCATTCAAGGTATCACGGGATGGACCCTTTATCCCAGAGCAAATGTAATCTTTATGGAAACAAAAAGAATAACGGGATACTCTTTCATTGACTGCAGCCTTTGGGAGTATAAATCCCAAAGCTGCAATTAATGCCCTTCAAGGAGTTGTCCTGGTATGATGTTCTCAGTACAAAACTCTTCACAGAAATATCTTCAGCATGATGTTATACTCTTACTGAGATGACAGTGAATTTGTCACCAACAAACATGGGAAAAGATGCTGTGAGTAACATTTACAATGAAAGGAAGAGGTTTTACTGAGCCGTCCGATTTTTTTTTTCAGTTTCCCGTGGGGCTAAGGCTCAAATGTACAAGACAACTGGAAAAAAAGGAGAGATTTGAGAGTCATTCAACAGAAAAACTAGAATACATAAAGACTAAACTGCATATCTGTTCCTTATTAATGAGGGGCTCTTTGAGACTGACCTATATTATTTATGCCTTCCCAGTTGTCTTTTAAATTCAATTCCAAGATTTTTCCTGCAAAATGTTAAAAAAATCTTAAATATTACTCCAATCTTTTATTATTTTAATTGACAAATAATTTTATATATTGATTAGATACAATGTGATCTTTTGATATATGTATATGTGCAATATGGAATGATTAAGTCCAGCTAACACAGTCATCACCTCACATACTTATTTTTCTTATAGTGAGAACATTTAAATCTACTTGTTTAAAATCCCCCCTTTCTCCATCCCCTGCCCCCCAGGTAGCTATCATTCTACTCTCCACTTGTATGAGTTTATCTTTTTTAGATTCCACATAAGAGTGAGATCATGTGGTATTTGTCCTTCTGTGTCTGGCTTCTTTCACTTCGCATAATGTCCTGCAGGTTCATGAATGTTGTTGTAAAGACAGAATTTCCCTTTTTTCTTTAAGGCTGAATAGTATTCCATTTTATATAGATAATGTGGTTCATATATATCACATTATATCCCTTTTATATATTTATCTGTTTATCCGTTGATGGACATTTAGGTTCCTTTCATACCTCAGCTATTGTGAAAAATGCTACAATGAACATGGTAGTGCAGATATCTGTAGTGAATTCTTATGAGTTTATGTTACCTCAGCGTTCATTTTCAATATATAATTGAACTTCCTCATGCCAGAAGCAGGACTTAGTCACCCTTATCACAATTTTGAGTTCTCCTCTCCCAGTTTCTTCAGGTGGTCAATCCAGATATTTGGCCTCTTGGTTACCACCTCCGTGTGGGACACCTAGATACAACCTACTTGACTTATCCCACTGATCCCCACACCCCACATGGACTGCAGATTTGCAGCAGTGAACACCTCTCAATACAACTTAACTCCCAAGAAATCATGCCTGCTTGCTCTAAACCCAGCAATCAGTTACTCCCTGCTTGGATAATGCTGTGTACTCCAATAAGGGCTTTGGCTTTCTGGTCTGTCACTCACTCTCTCTCGCTACCCACCCACTGGTTGCACATGCATGTCTCTAAGGGATGCCCTTTCTCCCATTAGGCCTGTGAGGCAAGTTGCCCTCTTCTCTCTGGAATCTTTAAGTAATAAAACTACTTATACTATTTTTTTTTATGTGTCTTCTTGGCGTCTCACCTGACACACCTAAAATTAATTTTTTTTTCTGGACAAGGCTCCCTTAGAGAGTGGCAATCTTGGTAGGAATGAACTGGACACACTAGTCAGACAAAAGCCACAATGGTGTCTGCCAGTGAAAACAAGTTTCCAGTGAGAGGGACACCTGGTCATAAATAGGACAATTAGGCATTAGCTCTCCATCAGGATAAGGAAGTATTCCATGAAAAGAACACCGAAAACATCCACAACCACAACCACCTCCACTGGAGCCCATCAGAGCCAGGCTAGAGTTTCTAGCCACTCTTCAAAGAGAGACGTTAAAACCAAATTAGAGGAAAATCTACCCATTTTTTTTTTTTTTGAGATGGAGTCTTGCTCTGTAGCCCAGGCTGGAGTGCAGTGGCATAATCTCAGCTCACTGCAAACTTGGCCTCCCAGGTTCAAGCAATTCTCCTGTCTCAGCCACCTGAATAGCTGGGACTACAGGTGCAAACCACACCCGGCTAATTTTTTTTGTATTTTTAGTAGAGATGGGGTTTCACCATATTGGTCAGGCTGGTCTCTAACATATTTTTAAAATACAAATTTCAATCTCTTTGGCTATGTATCCAGAAATATAATTGCTAGATCCTATGGTAATTCTATCTTTAGTTTTTTGAGGAATCTCCATGCTGATTTCAATAATGCCTGTATTAATTTACATTCCTGCCATTAGTATATAAGGATTCCCCACATCCTTGTCAGTACTTATTACCTTTTAGTTTATTGATAATAGTCATTCTAACAGGTATGAGGTGATATCTCTTTGTTTTGTTTTAATTTGCATTTCCCTGATGATTAGTGATGTAGACACTTTTTTATATATCTATTGGTCTTTTGAAAGATGTCCATTCAAGTCCGTTGCTCAGTTTTAAATGGCGTTATTTGTTTTCTTGCTAACAAATTTAAGTTGTTTGCATTTCTTACATATTTTGGATATTAGCCATGTATGGTTTGTAAATATTTTCTCCCAGTCCATGGGTTGTCTCTTCAATCTGTTATTTACTTTGTTGTAGAGAAGCTTTTGGTTTCAGGTAATCCCATTTGTCTACTTCTGCTTTGGTTTCCTGAGCTTTTGAGATCATCACCAAGAAAGTATTGCCAAGATTAATTTCAGGGACATTTTTCCCTATGCTTTCTTCTAGTAGTTTTACATTTTCAGGTCTCGCATTTAAATCTTTAAACCATTTTTAGTGGGCTTTTTACACATGGTGTGAGATAAGGGTTCAATTTCATTCTTCTGTATGTGGGTATTTGATTTCCCCTGCATCATTTATTAAAGAAACTGTCCTTTCCCCATAGTGTGTTTATTCTTGGCATCTTCGGCAAAAATCAATTAATCACAAATGCATGAGTTTATGTCTGGGCTCTCTATCACATTACATTGGTCCATGTGTCTGTTGTTATGCCAGTACCTTTCTGTTTTGAATACTATAACTTTGTAATATATCTTTAATCAGGTAGTGTGATGCCTCCAGCTCTGGTCTTTTTGCTCAAAAGTGCTTTAGCTACTTAAGATTTTTGTCATTCCATATGAATTTTTGAATTGCTTTTTCTATTTCTGTGAAACAAAAAGGTCATTAGAACTTTTATAGGAATTGCATTGAATCTGTATACCACTTTCAGCAGCACAGACATTTTAATAATATTAATTCCTCCAATCCATGAACCATCAGGTTCTGGGCTTTTCTTTGCTAGGACACTTTTATCACTGATTCAACCCCCTTACTCATTAGTCTGTTCAGATTTTCTATTTTTTCATGATTCATTGTTGTTATGTTTCTGGAAATCTAACCATTTCTTCTAGGTCATCCTATTTGTTGGTGTAAAATTGTTCGTAGTATTCTTTTATGATCTTTTGTACTTGCGTAGTTTCAATTTTAATGTCTCCTCTTTCATTTCTTATTTTATTAGAGTCTTCTTTTTTTTCTTAGTTGGTCTGCTAAAGTTTTGTCAATTGTTTTTATCTTTTCAAAAACTGAACTGTTAGTTTTGCAAATGTGTTCTTTTGTTTTCTAATCTCTTACTTATTTCTGCTCTGATCTTTGTTATTTCCTTCCTTCTGCTAACTTTGGGATTAGTTTGCTCTTCTCTTTTTCTAGTTTCTTGAAATGTAACATTAGGTTGTTTGAGATCTTTCTTCTTTTTCAATATCGGCATTTATTACTATAAACTTTCCTCCTGCTAAGAACTTCTTTTGTTACATCCCATAAGTTGTGGTACGTTGCATTTTCATTTTCATCTGTCTTAAGATATTTTTTAACTTCCCTTTGATTTCTTCATTAACCCATTGTTTATTCAAGAGCATGTTGGTTAATTTCCACATTTGTAATATTTTCAAATTTTCCCCTATTATTTATTTCTATTCATTTCTACTTTCATAATTTTGTGGTCAGAAAAGATACTTGATATGATTTCAATCTTCTTAAAATTGTTGAGTCTTATTTTGTTACCTAATATTTGATCCTGGATAATGTCTCATTTGCACTTGAGAAGAATGAATATTCTGTTGCTGTTGGATGAAATGTTCTATAACGTCTTTAGGTCCATTTGGTCCAAAGTGTATGTCAAGTCTAGTGTTTCCCTATTGATTTCTGTCTAGATGAAAAAATTGTTCATCATTACTAATCATCAGAGAAATGCAAATCAAAACCACAATGAGATATCATCTAACACCAGTCAGAATGGCTGCTATTTAAAAGTCAAAAAACAACAGATATTGCGGAGGCTGCAGAGAAACGTGAACGCTTATACACTGTTGGTGAGAATGAACATTAGTTCAGCCACTGTGGAAAGCAGTTTGGAGATTTTCCAAAAGAACTAAAAACAGAGCTACCATTGGACCCAGCAATACCATTCCTGCGTATTTAGTCAAAGGAAAATATATCATTATACCAAAAGAACACACGCACTCATGTTCATGGCAGCACTATTCACAACAGCAGAGACATAGGCCTGCCCATCAGTGGTGGATTGGATAGAGACAATGTGGAGTTCCGGCAGAGACCCGGGTGGGACGCGCTGACCATGGGCCTGCGGAGGGGCTGGGGGTTCAGGACCTCCCGCAGCCTCTGCCCTGCAGGCTCCAGGTGCCCTCGCTGTGGCTCCCCTCGCGGGCCCAGGCCTGAAGAAGCCGCGAACCTCTCTTCCCTACCCCACCTCCGTGACTGATGGCAGCTCCTCTCTCAGCCCAGACCCCGCCGGCCTCCATGTCTCCCGGCCCAGCCCTGCGGGGCCTAAACTAAGCCCCTGCCGAGCTGCTAGGATGCAGCGCATTTGAGTGGCTGCGGGCGTGGGGGGCCGGGAAGCATGGCGACCGCCCCAACTCGCAGCGGAGGCCGTTAGGGTGTGGAGGGCGCGGGAAGGTGGGTCGCCTGCCACCGGGGCGCGGGCAGATCGGACCGCTCTGTCCCAGCTGGTCGAGACCGACCTAGTCCTGACGACAGGAACAACGGCATTAACAACGGCCGGAAGGTGAGCAGTGTCCCAGACAACGACGGATAGCGGCCACCTGGCCACTGGTCTTCCTTCTCTACCAGACCTGGATGTGGGAAGAGAGAAGTGGTGGAACAGGCCACATTTGGCGTATTGGAGATGCCCACTACCCTTTGGGAAGATTTAATTACCACCGTTTATAGAAGGCCCTGCGTGTGTAAAGTGAGAAAGCGGTTCTCAACTGCCCCCGCCCCAACTTTTAAATAGAAAACATTTGCCACATTTAGCCCTTCTAGATGGAAAGAGGTTGTGATGTATGATAAAGTTAGAAAATCACACATCTTATAAATTCTCATTTGTTCAAAAAGAAATGATAGAAAATAGATGTCTTCTGGAAATGGCTTTTCGCAATGGAATTGTTGGACCACTTCTGGAAGCCATACCAGGAACGACAGACACAACCACATTTGTTCAGTGGGTTAGAGGGCATGAAGAAGAAGACCTGAGAAGGAAAAGAAGAAGGTTCTGTGCCAGACTAGTCATATTCAGAAGACATTCTCATATTCTTTCCATTGTTTTGTGTGCGTTTTATTCCCTACTACTGTATAGATCATTGACAATGCTACACTTTTTTGAAATGTCTAGTGTTTCTAGATGTTCTGAGGTGCCTGATATATGTTTAAACTAGAAGTAGTAAAATAACACATCTTGTAAGTATCTTTTTGTTAAAATTCGAATGAAACATTGTTTTAGGGGGAAGGGCCAAACCACAAGTTGAGTAATATGCATTGTATTATGCGCCAGTTCAGGAGAGGAGGAGGAGGAGGCTGTGCAGAGAGCTCTGTGCCACCAGTGTGCTTACAGTGAGGCAAGATTAACCATTATATCTTATGTTTGTGCATTTTCTTTTACTTATCTATGTATAAAGTGTATATAGAGGAAAACAAGTCCTAATTTACATCTAGTCTTTCTAGATGTTATGGAGGTTGCCAGTGAATTACAAAAGTAGAGTTAGCAAACTAATATTTTTGTACATTTTGTTTTTAAATTCCTAGGGAAGATTGTCTTCTGAAAACTTGAGCATTCTTGCCCACTGGGTTGATGGAGATGGAAAGATTTTTAGGCCAGAATGTTCACATTTGGAAGACTCCTTCAAATTATAACTATTGTTACATGTATGCAGTTTATTCAAGGCTGCAGTGTACATAGTGGACAGATTAACTTCTTACCTGAAACCGCTAGTCTATTTAGATGTTTAGAAGGGCCTGATGTATGTTAAATGTAGAGGTAGCAAAATTTCACTTTGTAAATGTCTTTTTGCTGAAATTCATAGGAAATACTGTGTTTTGGAAATTGAATTATTAAGCCATCTTTGTGAGTGGTATAGTACTGTCTATACTTGCTCAGTAGTTTAGAGGAGCTGGGACGGATGAAACTGCAAAAGGTAACATGCTAGTGTGCTCATACTTGCACATTTTCAGGCACCATTTTTCTGTATGTTTTGTGCATTGTGTTTTGCTCTGTATATAGCGCATATAATGAACAAATGAGTCCTAATTTTGCAACATCTAGTCTCTAGATGTTAAAGAGGCTGGCAGTGTATGACAAAGTACTTAGTAAAATTAGCACTTTTTGTAAGCTTTGTGTTGAAATTCATAGGAAACCTTGTCTTCTGTAAATAACTTTTGGATCTAAATTTGTTCAACCATTTCTAAAGTATGACACATGCCTATACTTGTCTACTGAAATAAAGGCAGAGAGAAGAAAGGAAGGACTACTTCAAGGCCAAAATGGTCATGTTTAGAAGATACCTCAGATTATAACTGTTGTTATGTGTGTGCAATTTTATTTAACAGTGCCATGTACATGGTGGACAAGTTATATGAAATATTTAATCTTTCTAGATATTTGGAAGTGCTTGGTGTATTTAAAAATAGAAGTAGTAGAATAACACTTTCTGTAAATATCTTTTAAAAGTAATGAGAAATACTTTTTGGAACTGGCATTGTTGAACCACCTCTGTGAACAGCGTCCTCTCTGTACATGTTCATTGGGTTGAGGGAGATTGGAAGGAAGATATTGCAAAAAGTGTCTTGCTCTTGCGATAGTTTACTGAGAATGATGATTTCCAATTTCATCCAAGCCAAACACCGCATATTCTCACTCATAGGTGGGAACTGAACAACGAGATCACATGGACACAGGAAGGGGAATATCACACTCTGGGGACTGTTGTGGGGTGGGGGGAGGGGGGAGGGATAGCGTTGGGAGATATACCTAATGCTAGATGCGAGTTAGTGGGTGCAGCGCACCAGCGTGGCACATGTATACATATGTAACTAACCTGCACAATGTGCACATGTACCCTAAAACTTAAAGTATAATAATAAAAAATAAAAAATAAAAAGTGTTTTGCTAATGTTTACTAGAAAATTTCAGCTTAATCCATTACCTATATGTTACATGCATTGCATTTAACTTTGCTATACTGTATATATTGTGTGTATACTGGATGAAGTAGTCTTAATTTTATAATATCTAGTCTAGTCTCTAGATATTAAAGAGGTTGCCAATTTATAACAATTTATGAGAGTTAGTTTACTAACTCTATTTTTGTACACTTTGTTGAAATTCATAGAAAGGCTATCTTCTGAAAAGGACTTTTGGAAGTGAAATGATAACATCAGTTCTAAATGACACATATGCCTATATCCACTAGGTTGGTGGTAGAGAGGAGTTAGAAGGAATGAAAGATTTTAGACCAGAATGTTCCTATTTAGAAGACACTTTCAGATATAACCATTGTTACCTGTGTATATAGTGGACAAATTTAAGTCCTTATTTGAAACATCTAGTCTTTCTAGAAGTGCACAAAGTATGTTAAAAGTAGAGGGAGTAAATAACACTTTGTAGATATCCTTTTGATTCATATGAAATATTGTCTTTGGGAAATGGATCAAACCACTTATCTGAGCAGTACACATTACTATATGTGTGTTGGCTCAGGGAGGAAAGAGGAGCAGAAAGGGCAAAGGGTAATTGAAATACCAGTGTGTTTATGGTGAGGCACACTTTACCATTGTCCCTTATGTCTGCATTTTCTTTTACTGTGCTGTGTATATAGTGCATATAAGTGGACAAATTAGTCCTAATTTTCAACATCTAGTCTTTGTAGATATTAAGATGTTTCTAGTGTATGACAAAAGTAGAGTTAGTAAACTACTGTACTGAGTACACTTTTTGGTAAAATTCATAGGGAAGACTGTTCTTAAAAACACAAAAGGATGAAGCCGAAGACGGCCAAATAGGAGCAGTTCTGGTTTGCAGCTCCCAGCAAGACCAATCCAGATGGCAGGTGATTTCTGCATTTCCAACTGAGGTACCCCGTTCCTCTCATTAGGACTGGTTAGGCAGCAGGTCAAACCCATGGAGGGCAAGCAGAAGAAGGGTGGGGAGTTGCTTACCCAGGAAGTTCAAGAGGCCAGGGGACCTCTTTCCCCGAGCCAGGGGAGCCATGAGGGACAGTGCTGCCTAGCTTGTTACTACACTTTTTCCATGGTTTTTGCAATCTGTAGATCAGGAGATTCCCTTGTGTGCCTACACCACCAGGGCCTTAGGTTTCAAGCACAAAACTGGGTGGCCATTTGGGCAGACACAGAGCTAGATGAAGGAGTATTTTTCCTACCCTAGTGATGCCTGGAACCCCAGCGAGACAGAACCATTTACTCCCCTGGAAAGGAGGCTGAAGCCAGGGAGCCAAGTGGTCTCGCTCAGCAGGTCCCACTCCCACAGAACCTAGCAAGCTAAGAACCACTGGCTTGAAATTCTCACTGCCAGCACAGCAGTCTGAAGTCAACCTAGGACAATTGAGCTTCATGGGATGAGGGACGTCTGCCATTACTGAGGCTTTAGTAGGCCATTTTCCCTGACAGTTCCAAGGAGTCTCGGAGGTATGGACTGGCAAATTCATCACAGTGCAGCAAAGCAGCTGTGGCCAGACTGCTTCTCTAGATTCCCCCTCACTGGGCAGGGCATCTCTGAAAGAAAGGTAACAGCCCCAGTCAGAGGCTTACAGACAAAACCCCCATCTCCCTGGGACAGAGCACCTGGGGAAGAGGTGGCTGTGGGCACAGCACAAGCAGATTTAATCGTTCCTGCCTGCCTGCTCTGAAGACAGCAGCTGATCCTGACAAGAGGGATTCTCCCAGCACAGCACACCAGTTCTCTTAAGGGACACACTCCCTCCTCAAGTGGGTCCCTAACCCCCATGCCTCCTGACTGGGAGACAACTCCCAACAGGGCTTGACAGAACCTCACACAGGAGAGCTCCAGCTGTCATCAGGCCAGTGCCCTTCTGGGACGAAGCTTCCAGAGGAAGGAGCAGGAAGCAATCTTTGCTGTTCTACAGCCTCTGCTGGTGATACCCAGGCAAACAGGGTCTGGAGTACACTTCCAGCAAACTGCAGCAGACCCGCAGAAGAGGGGCCTGACTGTTATAAGGAAAACTAACAAACAGAAACAACGTCAACATCAACATAAAGGACCGTCACACAAAAACCCCATCCAAAGTCATCAGCCTCAAAGATCAAAGGTAGATAAATCCACAAAGATGAGGAAAAACTAGCATAAAAACGCTGAAAATTCCAAAAACCAGAATGCCTCTTCTACTCAAAATGATCTCAACTCCTCTCCAGCAAGGGCACAAAACTGGAGAAGGAGATTGATGAATGACAGAAGTAGGCTTCACAAGGTGTGTAATAACAAACTCCTGTGAGCTAAAGGAGCATGTTCTAACCCAATGCAAGGAAGCTAAGAACCTTGATAAAAGGTTACAGAAACTGCTAACTAGACTAGCCAGTTTAGAGGAGAACATAAATGACCTGAGGAGCTGAAAAACACAGCACGAGAACTTTGTAAGATATACACAAGGATCAATAGCCAAATCGATCAAGCAGAAGAACGGATATTAGAGACTGAAGACCAACTTACTGAAATAAGGTGTGAAGACAAGATTAGAGAAAAAAGAATGAAAAGGAACAAACAAAGCCTCCAGGAAATATGGGACTATGTGAAAAGACCAAACTTATGTTTGATTGGTTTACCTGAAAGTGACGAGAAGAATGGAACCAAGCTGGAAAACAGCTTCAGGATATTATCCAGGAGAACTTCCACAAGGTAGCAATACAGGCCAACATTCAAATTCAGGAAATACGAGAACACCACTAAGATACTGCTCGAGAAAAGCAACCCCAAGAAACGTAATTGTCAGATTCTCCAAGCTTGAAATGAAGGAAAAAAAGTTAAGGGCAGCCAGAGAGAAGGGTCAGGTTACCTATAAAGGGAAGCCCATCAGACTAACAGCATATCTCTCTGCAGAAACCCTACAAGCCAGAAGAGAGTGGGGGCCAATATTCAACATTCTTAAAGAAAAGAATTTTCAACCAAGAATTTCATCTCCAATGCGCCAAATGTGGCCTGTTGTTCCACCACTTCTCTCTTCCCACATACAGGTCTGGTAGAGAAGGAAGACCAGTGGCCAGGTGGCCGCTATCCGTCGTTGTCTGGGACACCGCTCACCTTCCGGCCGTTGTTAATGCCGTTGTTCCTGTCGTCAGGACTAGGTCGGTCTCGACCAGTTGGGACAGAGCGGTCCGATCTGCCCGCGCCCCAGTGGCAGGCGACCCACCTTCCCGCGCCCTCCACACCCTAACGGCCTCCGCTGCGAGTTGGGGCGGTCGCCATGCTTCCCGGCCCCCCACGCCCGCAGCCACTCAAATGCGCTGCATCCTAGCAGCTCGGCAGGGGCTTAGTTTAGGCCCCGCAGGGCTGGGCCGGGAGACATGGAGGCTGGCGGGGTCTGGGCTGAGAGAGGAGCTGCCATCTGTCACCGAGGTGGGGTAGGGAAGAGAGGTTCGCGGCTTCTTCAGGCCTGGGCCCGCGAGGGGAGCCACAGCGAGGGCACCTGGAGCCTGCAGGGCAGAGGCTGCGGGAGGTCCTGAACCCCCAGCCCCTCCGCAGGCCCATGGTCAGCGCGTCTCACCCGGGTCTCTGCCGGAACTCCACATTGTCTCTATCCAATCCACCACTGATGGGCACCTAGGTTGGTTCTATGTCTCTGCTATTGTGAATAGTGCTGCCATGAACATGAGTGCGTGTGTCCTTTTGGTATAATGATATATTTTCCTTTGACTAAATACGCGGTAATGGAATTGCTGGGTCCAATGGTAGCTCTGTTTTTAGTTCTTTTGGAAAATTCTCCAAACTGCTTTCCACAGTGGCTGAACTAATGTTCATTCTCACCAACAGTGTATAAGCGTTCGCGTTTCTCTGCAGCCTCCGCAATATCTGTTGTTTTTTGACTTTTAAATAGCAGCCATTCTGACTGGTGTGAGATGGAATCTCATTGTGGTTTTGATTTCCGTTTCTCTGATGATTAGTAATGATGAACAATTTTTTCCATATGTTTATTGGTCACCTTTATGTCTTCTTTTGAGAAGTGTCTGTTCATCCTTTGTCATTTGTTAATTTTTTAATGGGGTTATGTTTGTTGATTTAAGTTCCTTATAGATTCTGGATATTAGACCTTTGTTGTGTGCATAGTTTGTGAATCTTTTCTCACCTTCCGTAAGTTGTCTGTTTATTCTATTTATAGTTTCTTTTGCTGTGCGGAAGCTCCTTAGTTTAATTTGTATTTATGGATAGTAAAGATAACTAGCATTTGAGTTTGTATAAAGATAAGATGATAAGTATTGAGTTGAGGTGAAGCAACTAATGTCACAGAAGTTAGAAATATTTTGCCACATTGTAAGCTCTATTTGACTTTTGACTTTGTGTAGTAGATATAGATAGCATGAAAGCCTTAATTTTTCGCTTTTCTTGCTAGTAAGGTTATGTTTGCTTAGAGTGACCATTTAAAGTGTGTTTAACATAACATTACTGTTGAAAAACATTCCATTACATGTCCACAAGCAAATTAACTGCACATTTTAAATTGTATTTTACAATACAGTACAAATATTTTAGACCTCAATCTTATCTTCAATTCACTGGTATTTTAAGTTTTGCAATGAATATGAAGTTACTTTTTAGCTTACAGACTCCTTGTATTGTTATTTAAAATGCTTGTTACTATTGTAGGAAGGTTGAAGGCTTCATCTTTTTTTGAGTTAATATTTAAATTCTTATTACTTACTTTGATAGTCTCTAATTAAAAAAAGTAGTATGCAGGCAATTAAACAAATCAGTATATGCATTCAAGAATTTAAAACAATTTTACATTTTGTCATCATTGGGATTAAATTTTGGCCGGGTGTTCACTTTCAATATATATGTATGAACAATTTAATTATGAAGTGAAATAGTCTTAAGTCTGATATATGATGCAACCGCATATAAATTAAAATGGCACACACAAAGACACTTTACTATGGGAACTGTATTGGAAGATTTATGAAATTTTAGGTAAAATTGAACCTAAAATTTTGTTATTAGTGACTATAAGTAGCAATGCTTAATTTATTGTACTTGATGAATGAATGTATTTAGGTTAGCCATAGTTACTTTGGTTTAAATGTCGAAATCATGTCTTTATTTTAAAAATGTATTTGTAATTTGTACTATCAACGGGGGATATTATTGGACTGCAGAGGTTGTGGCAATGTGTGATTTGTGTTTCCTTATTTTATAGAATTATCTAATGTGATATACTAGTTTTTACAGGTAATATTTAGATATTTCTAATAATTGTATATTTGACAACCTACTAAAATGCTTTGCATTGGAAAGAAAATGAAAAACTATATGCAGACGTAGGCTGCCTGTAAGAGGTTCACTTTAACTTGAAGAACACACATTGATTGAAAAAATTATTTCATGCAAGTGGAAAGCAAAAGACAAGGGTAGCTGTACTTTTATGAGATGAACTTTAAGTCCAAAACTGTTAAAAGAGACAAAGAAGGTCATTATGTAATGATAAAAGGGTCAATTCATGAAAAGGACTTAACAATTGTAAATATATATGCACCTAATATAAGATCACCTATACATATAAAGAAAGCATTAGTAGACCTGAAAAGAGATAGACTGCAATACAATAATAGCAGAGGATTTCAATACTTTACTTTCAACAGTGGATATATCATCTAGACAAAAATCAATAAGGAAACACTGGACTTGACATACACTTTAGACCAAGTGGACCTAACAGACATATATAGAACATTCCATCCAACAGCAACAGAATATTCATTCTTCTCAAGTGCAAATGGGACATTATCCAAATAAGGTAACAAAATAAGACTCAACAGTTTTAAGAAGACTGAAATCATATCAAGTATCTTTTCTGACCACAAAAGTATGAAAGTAGAAATGAATAGAAATAAATAATACGATAAAATTTGAAAATATTACATACGTGGAAATTAACCAACACGCTCTTGAATAAACAAAGGGTTAATGAAGAAATCAAAAGGGAAATTAAAAAATATCTTAAGACAGATGAAAATGAAAATGCAACGTACCACAACTTATGGGATGTAACAAAAGAAGTTCTTAGCAGGAGGAAAGTTTATAGTAATAAATGCCGATATTAAAAAAGAAGAAAGATCCCAAACAAACAACCTAATGTTACATTTCAAGAAGCTAGAAAAAGAGAAGAGCAAACTAATCCCAAAGTTAGCAGAAGGAAGGAAATAACAAAGATCAGAGCAGAAATAAGTAAGAGACTAGAAAACAAAAGAACACATTTGCAAAACTAACAGTTCAGTTTTTGAAAAGATAAAAACAATTGACAAAACTTTAGCAGACCAACTAAGAAAAAAAAGAAGACTCTAACAAAATAAGAAATGAAAGAGGAGACATTAAAATTGAAACTACAGAAGTACAAAAGATCATAAAAGAATACTGCGAACAATTTTACACCAACAAATAGGATGACCTAGAAGAAATGGTTAGATTTCTAGAAACATAACAACAATGAATCATGAAAAAATAGAAAATCTGAATCAGTTAATCCAGGAGGTGGATTTTGAAAAGATCCACAAAATTGATGGACTGCTAGCAAGACTAATAATGAAGAAAAGAGAAAAATCAAATAGATCTATTAAAAAATAATAAAGGAGATATCACTACTGATCCCACAGAAATACAAATTCTCTTTTTTTTTGTTGTGTCTCTGACAGGCTTTGGTATCAGGATGATGCTGGCATCATAAAATGAGTTAGGGAGGATTCTCTCTTTTTCTATTGATTGGAATAGTTTCAGAAGGAATGGTACCAGCTCCTCCTTGTACCTCTGGTAGAATTCGGCTGTGAATCCATCTCGTTCTGGACTTTTTTTGGTTGGTAGGCTATTAATCATTGCCTCAATTTCATAACCTGTTAGTGGTCTATTCAGAGATTCAACTTCTCCCTGGTTTAGTTTTGGGAGGGTGTATGTGTCCAGGAATTTATCAATTTCTTCTAGATTTTCTAGTTTATTTCCATAGAGTTGTTTATAATATTTTCTGGGAAAACTGGCTAGCCACCATGTAGAAAGCTGCAACTGGATCCATTCCTTACACCCTATACAAAAATTAATTCAAGATGGATTAAAGACTTAAATGTTAGACCTAAAACCATAAAAACCCTAGAAGAAAACCTAGGCAATACCATTCAGGACACAGGCATGGGCAAAGACTTCGTGACTAAAACACCAAAAGCAATGGCAACAAAAGCCAAAATAGATGCATGGGATCTAATTAAACTAAAGAGCTTCTGCACAGCAAAAGAAACTACCATCAGAGTGAACAAGCAATGTACAGAATGGGACAAAATTTTTGCAATCTACCCAATTAACAAAGGGCTAATATCCAGAATCTACAAAGAACTTAAACAAATATACAAGAAAAAAATAAACAACCCTATCAAAATGTGGGCAAAGGATATGAACAAACACTTCTTGAAAGAAGACATTTATGCAGCCAACAGACACATAAAAAATGCTCATCATCACTGGTCATCAGAGAAATGCAAATCAAAACCACAATGAGATACCATCTCATACCAGTTAGAATGGCAATCATTGAAAAGTCAGGAAAGGACAGATGCTGGAGAGGATGTGAAGAAATAGGAACACTTTTACACTGTTGATGGGAACGTAAATTAGTTCAACCATTGTGGAAGACAGTGTGGTGATTCCTCAAAGATCTAGAACTAGAAATACCATTTGACCCAGTGATCCCATTACTGGGTATATACCCAAAGGATTATAAATCATGCTATTATAAAGACACATGGACACATATGTGTATTGTAGCACTATTCATGATAGAAAAGACTTGGAATGTCCATCAATGATAGGCTAGATTAAGAAAATGTGGCACATATACACCATGGAATACTATGCAGCCACAAAAAAGGGTGAGTTGATGTCCTTTGCAGGGACATGAATGAAGCTGGAAACCATCATTCCCAGCAAACTATCACGAGGATAGAAAACCAAAGACCACATGTTCTCACTCATAGGTGGGAATTGAACAATAAGAACACTTGGACACAGGATGGGGAACATCACACACTGGGGCCTGTTAGAGGGTGGGGAGCTGTGGGAGGGATAGCATTAGGAGAAATACCTAATGTAAATGACAGGTTGATGGGTGCAGCAAACCAACATGGCACATGTATACCTATGTAACAAACCTGCACATTGTGCACATGTACCTTAGAACTTAAAGTATAATAAAAATATTTTTAAAAAGATATTTGTTTTTTGCACCAGCTATACATCAGAACAGAATCTGGTGACTAAGAGGCTAAGAAACAGGGCTTATATGATTTTACATTTCTGGGGAGACAAATAATGGAAATTTTGGCCCATATAAATACCCAAGACTTTCAGCTAGAATGGGTGAATGGCTGCAACCTATGAATAACCATAGACTGAATATAGGCCAGCCCTAAAAATGACTGCAATCTAGAGTATATAATCACCTTTGCTGATGATAGCATATGCAAAATAAACTACATAATTTAAAGTATGCAAGTCAGTATTTTTATAGTTGTATATACCCATGATACCAATACCTCAATCAAGGTAGAGAACATTTCCATCACTCTCCAAAATCTATTTTGTCTTTTGATTTCAGACTTAGTCAACTACTACTCTAATTTATGCCCTCATAGATAAGTTTGCATGTTCTTGAATTCTTAGTGATAGATCTACATAGTGTGTATTATTTTGAGTCTTGCTTTCTGCATTCAGCAAAAATATTTTGAAATTCATCTAAAATGGTTGCAGGCCAGCACATTGTTTTGTTTTCATTACTAGTAATGTTCAATAATAAGGATATAGTATAATTTATTCATTACATCCGTTGACAGATACTTACAGTAATTCTAGGTTTTCGCCACAGTATTTTGAAAAAAGTGGCTATAAATATTCAGCACAGGTCTTCATTTGAGCAAATGTTTTTACTTCTCTTGAACAGATATTTAAGAGTTGAATGAATGGGCCATAAGGTATGTGTAACTTTTAAAGAAACCACAAAACAGTGTTCCAAAGTGTCTGTGTCATTTTACGCTCCTACCAGCAATGTATGTCCCAATTCTATCCACCCCATTCAAAATTAGGGATGTTTTCCTACTTTAATTACTTCCCAAAAGCAAAAATAAATTCTATCTAGAGGAGGATAACAACATTCCAAACTTTTAAAAAGTATATATTGTATAAATTGTATATATATAGAGTATAAATATGTATATATTGTATAAATAAATTGTGTAAAAAGTATGTATGTATATATTGTATAAATAAAAAGTACATATTGTATCAATTGTCATTTTGAAATAGATGCTGGAGAAATGGAGGAAAGAAGAGGTTATTAACTATTTCAATAATGCTCATTCTATCACTACCAAACCTGTCCTATGAGAACTGCTAAAGGAAGTTCACCAAACTGAAAGAATGTTAATGTGATTGTCATACTAAAAATGAAGTCATTATATTTAAACCACTTACCTATTTAGTAAGAAAACTAAAAACAATTTAAAATAATAACTACAACAATTTTTAAGAGATAGGCAATATAAAAAATGTAAATTGCAACATCAAAATTCAAAATATGGGTGAAGAATGGAGTTAATGTGTATAAGTTTTTAGTTGGAAGTTTGTTTTTATTTATGAGAGCAAAGTTAAGTTGCTATCAGTTTTATACTACATGTTATATTATAGGATACTTTTCGTAAGCCTCATGGACACCACAGTGCAAAAACTTATAATGGATACACTAACAATAAAAAGCAACAAATTAAAACATACTACCAGAGGAAAATAACAAGGAAAAAAGGAAAGAAGGAAGGAAGGAAGGAAGGGGAAGGGGAAGGGGAGGGAGAGGGGGAAAGAGAGAAAGAGAGGAAGGCAGGAAGGAAGGAAGGAAAGGAAGGAAGGAAGGAAGAGAGGAATTACGAAATTAGAAAACAAGTAACAAAATGGCAGTACTAAGGCATGAACTATCAAAAATAAAATTGAATGTAAACAGACTACATTCTATTTAAAAGACATACAATGGTTAAATGAATTAAAAACAAGACCAAATTATATGCTGCCTGCTGCCTGCCAGAAACTCTTCAATAAATAGTGCTGGCATAGCAGGCTAGCCATATGTAGAAGACTGGAATTGAACCTGTTCCTTTTACCATACACAAAAATAAACTCAAGATAGATTAAAGACTTAAATGTACAACCCAAATGTATAAAAACAATAGAAGAAATTCTAGGAAATACCATTCTGGACATCGACTTTCACGAAGACTTCAAGACGAGGACTCCAAAAGCAATCACAACAAAACCAAAAATTGACAAATAGAATATAATTAAACTAAAGAGCTTCTGCATAGCAAAAGAAACTATCAACGGAATACACACACAACTTACAGAATGGGAGAAAATATTTGCAAACTATGCATCTGGCAAAGGTCTAATATCCAGAATCTATAAGGAACTTAAACAAATAAAAAAGTGAAAAACAAACAACTCTATTTTTAAAACGAGCAAATGGCATGAACAGACACTTCTCAAAAGAAGATATACACATCTAACAAGTATATTAAAAAGTTCAATATCACTAATCACCAGAGAAATGCAAATCAAAACCACAATGAGATATTGTCCCACACCGGTCAAAATGGCTACTATTAAAAAGTTAGGAAATAACATTTGCTGGTGAGGTGGTGGAGAAAAGGGAACATTTATATACCACTGGTGGAAATGAAAACTAGTTCAGCCACTGTAGAAAGAAGTCTGGAGATTTCTCAAATAACTTAAAATAGAACTACCACTTGATCCAGCAATCCCATTACTAGGTGTATAACCAAAGTAATATAAATCATTCTGCCATAAAGCAATATGCATGCAGATTTTCAGTGCAGCACTATTTACAATATCAAAGTCACAGAATCAACCTAGTTGTCCATCAGTGGTGGACTGGATACAGAAAACATATATACCACAGAATACTATGCAGCTATAAAAAACGAGACTTTGGTCTTTGCAGTAATAGGGATGGAGCTGGAAGCTATCATCCTAAGCAAATTGGTGAAGGAATGGAAACCCCAGTATGGCATGTTCTCACTTATAATTGGGAGTTAAATATTGAGTACATAAGGACACAAAGAAAAGAACAATAGAAACTGGGGCCTATGATGGGGGAGGTGAGGATCAAAACCAACCCATTGGTTACCACACTTATTACATGGGTGACAAAATAATCTGTACACCAAACCCATGTGACACACAATTTACCTATATAACAAACCTGCACAGGTACCCTGAACCTAAAATTAAAGTTTAAAAAAAAAGAAAAGCTACTTAATGGGTATAATGCTAATTCCCTGGGTGACAAAATTATCTGTACACCAAACCCCCATAACAAAAAATTTACTGATGTAACAAACCTGCACATGTACCACTTGAACCTGAAATACGTTGTGCACATGTACCCTAAAACTTAAAGTATAATAAAAAAAATTAAAAATAAAAAAAAGCAAAAAAAAAAATTGGAAAGAAAAAAAAGAACCTCACTTCACCTATAGAAACACACAAAGAATGCAACACCAGTGTCTAGCAAGAGAAGGATGGATAAAGAAAATGTAATATATATACATGATGGAATATCATTCAACCATAAAAAATAATGAAATCCTTTCATTAGTAGCAACATGGATAAAATTGGAAGTCATTATGTTAAGTGAAATAAACCATGAACAGAAATACAAATATATCATGTTCTCACTGGTATGCAGGAGCTAAAAAAAGTGGATCTTATGAAGGTCAAGGGTAGAATGGTGCTTATCAGAGTCTGCAAATGGATGCAAGGAAAAACAGATGAAAAAGAGTTTGTTAGTGGGTACAAAAATAGAGTTAGATACAAGGAATAATTTTTAGTATTTGATAATACAGTAGAGAAAATACAACTAACATTTATTAATATTAGCATAACATATATTGTATATTTCAAAATAGCTAGAAAAAAATTGTAATTTTCACAACACAAAGTGTTTGTGGTGATAGATATTATAATCACTCTGATTTAATCATTACACATTGTATATGTGTAAGAAAACACATCTACCCCAAAATATGTACAACTATAATATATTGAAAAATTAAATAAATAAATAAATATAGTGCTCATTTTAGAAAACCAATCAATGATGCCTAAAAGAGGGACTAATGTGTAAATATAAGCATCAAAACAAAAAAAATCAAATCTCCTGAAATACCAAAATACCAAAAAAGAATGAAAAGTGAAATATTTTATATACCTTTTATAAAGATATATGTATAAACTTATAAAGATATGTCTTTAATTTACCTGGCTGGGGCTTTTTGGAAGACTTCATTCATGAGTCTGTCTGTATTTGACCATGACTCAGACCTCGACCAATGCAAAAAGCATTTTCTCAGCAGGTATTTGTTGAAAATAATTTCAAGTGACTGCTTTAACTTCACTTCTGACTAAAGCAATTGATAAAAGTTGGGGCAGACCATAAAGCAATAAAAGAGCTTAAAAAATGTAAGGAATGGGATGTCTATAGGGATTTTGAAAATCTTTGCCATATGCCAGGAATTTCATGTATATGCATATGGCTGTGTTCAGATTCAGGACTCTATAAATGCTCAAGCAAGAACTGAGAAGATTCTAAACTCTTGTCTCTGGCTGACCTTCAGTATTTCAGGAAGAAGTAAGTGGAGGCTAAGGTAGAGATGTGAACTGCCTGACTAGGTGTCAGAGTCATGCCTCAATATGAACATAGAGGTCTTTGACAGAAACTGGAAGATTTATTAGTCCCAGGCATTGAAAGAAATTTCTGTCCAATTATTTGCTGGCCACTAGACTACCTGAGTACAGATTTTAATGGCCCTACACCACAAAGAAGGCAGACTTTAGAGAATTATTTGGGAGTATTCACTAAACAAGCAAGCAACAACTACATTAATAAGCAGCAACAACTACATTAATAAGCAGCAACAACAAATTCTAGTGAGACAGGGAGAATCTGGTTTCCACAGTTGCCATTTCTAGTATTTAAAATATTTAGTTTTCCAAATTTATAAGAAAGAAAAACAACCCCATTAAAAAGTGAGCAAAGAACATGAGCCGACAGTTTTCAAAAGAAGACATACATGCAGCCAACAATCATATGAAAAAAGCTCAACATCACTGATCATTAGAGAAATGCAAATCAAAACCACAAGGAGATACCTTATCACACCAGTCAGAATGGCTATTATTAAAAAGTCAGAGAAGAACAGATGCTGGGAAGGTTATGGAGAAAAACAAACATGTATACACTGTTGGTGGGAGTGTAAATTAGTTCAACCATTGTGGAAGGCATTGTGGCAATTCCTCAAAGTTCTAAAGACAGTAATACCATTTGACCCACCAATCTCATTACTGGGTAAGCACCCAAAGGAATATAAGTTGTTCAATTGTGAAAACACATGCATACATATGTTTATTGGAGCACTACTCACAATAGCAAAGACATGGAATCAACCTAAATGCCCATCAATGATAGACTCGATAAAGAAAATGTGGTACATACACACCGTGGAATACTATGCAGCCATAAAAAAGAATGAGATCATGTCCCTTTCAGGAACATAGATGGAGTTGGAGGCCATTATCCTTAGCAAACTAACACAGTAACAGAAAATTGAATACCACATGTTCTCACTTGTAACTGGGAGCTAAATGATGAAAACATATGGACACATAGAGGGAAACAATACATACTGTGGCCTGGTGGAGGGTGGAGGATGGGAGGACAGAGAGGATCAGGAAAAATAACTAATGGATGCTATGCTTAATACCTGGGTGATGAAATAATCTCTACAACAAACCCCCATGACCTGCGTATGTACCTTTGAACTTAAGATAAAAGTTTTAAAAATAAAAATAAATGAAATGAAGTATCTAGTTTTCAACATAAAATTATAATACAAGTGAAGAAAGACACAGGAAGTATGGGTCATAAAAGGAGGGGGAAATGCAATCAATAGCAGCAAATCTAGGTGTTGAACTTGTTGGACAAAGGCTTACATCAGCTACTTTAAAAATAGGGTCAAAGAGCTGAAATAAACCATGTTTAAAGAACTAAAGGAAGATATGACAACTATTTCTCACTAAATAGAGAAAATTATTAAAGAGATAGACATTATTTGTTGTTAAAGAACCAAGTCAAATTCTAGAGATGAAAAAGTACAGTGATGGAAATAAAAAATGCAGCAGAAGACCTGAACACCAGATTTTAACAAGCAGAAGGAAGAATCAACAAACTACAAGATAGGTCAATTGAGATTATCTAGTCAGAGTAATAAAAAGAAAAAAGAATGAAGAAAAATAAAACAGCCTAAAGAAATCTGAGACATTATCAACCATAGCAAACCACTGAAAACATCAGATGTTGACAAAGAGATAAATAACAGGAACTCTCATTCACTGATTACAGAAATCCAAAAGTGTACAACCACTCTAGAGGACAACTGGACAGTTTCATACAACACTAAACATCTTAACCATAGAATCCAGCACTCACGTGTCCTGGTATTAACCCAAATAATCTGAAACGTTATGTCCACACAGAACCTGTACACAAATGTTTGCAGTAGCTTTATTCCTAATTTCCAAAGCTTGGAAGCAAAAAAAAAAAAAAGTCCTTTAATAAATGAATGAATAAGCAGACTGTGGTACATTCATAGAATGGAATATTATTCAATTATAAAAAATGAGTTGTAAAGCCCAGACCTGGAAGAAATTTAAATGCATATTACTAAGTCAAAGAAGCCAGTCAGAAAAGTCTATATTATATATGATTTCAATTGTATGATATTCTGGAAAAAGCACAGTTATGGAAACAATAAAAAATCAGTGGTTGTCAGGGGCTCCCGGGGAGGAGGGGAGGAAATGATGAATGGAAGGAGAACAGGGAATTTTTAAGGCAGTGAAACCATTCTTTATGATACTGAATGGGGGAATACATGTTATTAAACATTTGTCAAAACCCATAGAATGTAAAACACACACCATCAACCCTAATGTAAACTATGGAATTTGGTTACTAATAACGTATTAATATTGGCTTATCAATTATAACAAATGTACCACATGAATGCAAGTTGTTAATAATAAAAGAAACTCTGGGGGAGGGAGTAAAAGGGGTTACATGTGAGTTCTCTACACCTTCCATTCAATTTTTTGTAAACCTAAAGCTTCTGAAAAATAGTCTATTCATTTAAAAAATGGAAGAGATTCACAAGGTTTATTTAAAAAGACAATCCAATGATATACTGTCAACAATATATTCACTTTAGATTCAAAAATGCAAATAGGTTGAAACTGAAAAGATGAAAAAAGTATTCCATTCAAAGAGTAAGCAAGATAGAGTGCTAATGGATGGCTATACTGATATTACACAATATCAACAAAAAGACAAGAATTATTACTGGAAACAAAGAAGGACAATTTATGATGATAAAATCGCTGGTCCATCAAGAAGATACATCAATTATAAGTACATATGCACCTTGCAGCAGATCTCCAAACTACATAAAACAAAGACTAACAGAACTGTTTGGAGCAATAGATAATTCCATAATTATAGTTCAATGTCAGCATCCCACTTTCAATAACAATAGAACAATTAGATAAAGGTCCACAAGGAAATAGAAGATGTGAACAGCATTATAAACTAACTACAGCTAATTGACCTCTACAGAAAACTCCACCCAATAGTAGTAGAATACATATATTACTCAGGGCACATGAAACATTCTACAGATTAGTCTATAAGGTCATAAAGCAAATCACAATACATTTAAAAGATTAAAATAATGTAAAGGATGTCCTCTAACCACAATGGAATAAAATTAGAAATCAATATCAGGCAAAATATTGTGAAATACACAAGTAAGTGGCGATGAAACAACACATTCCTAAATAATGAATGGCTCAGAGGAAATCACAAGGGAAAATAGCAAATAATTTGCAAAGAATGAAAATAGAAACACAACATACCAAAGTTTATGGAATTCAGCAAAAGTAGATAAGCTAGAGATGTGTTTAAAAGAAAAAAATTCCTTTATCAGTCATTGTCTCTGAAATGACAAAAAGTGTGTGTGCGTGTGTGTGCGTGTACATATGTATGTAAAAATCAAGTAACAATATGTTCAAGATGATTTAATTGTATTATTTAAGTTGCTATTGTCAAAAACTATGCATACTAGAGGGGGAGACTTCAAAAGCAAAATAACTAAGAAAGCTTTCATTCTTTTGCAGAAAATTAAAAGAGAATATGATATAGAGATACTGTGTAGTATATTCATATTAGATATTCCTTCTTAGGTGACATTTGAGATCAACCTGAAACACAGAAAGGAGCTAGTCATGATAAAATCAAAGAAAGAGCATTTTAGACCTAAAAACATCTAATTCAAAAGTCCTAAAGCAGGAAATGACCTTTGTTTGTAATGGAAAGTTACAGTCACCTATGGTCCCAGCAGAAAATAGATGGCATGCTCCTATGGGAACTGAAAGAGGTTTAACAAAAGAAGTAAATACAAAGTTGTGAGAAGGATTTAGGAACATCAACAAGGGATTTCTGTATATGTATTATATATGGACTACTCTGAATCTAGCAACAGTTGGGAGGCTTAGCAACCAACACAAGGCCTGAAGTAGCAAAGGGAGAAAGTACTATTACAAAGCAGAAAGAGAGAGAACCTGTACGTGGCTACATCCATGACCTGTGATCTTTGGTTGAGCAATACAAGTAGCCTCATTTGTCCCATCTGAAGGAGAGGGTAGGGGAAAATACTTCAAACTAGCTGCTGCCTCACTCTAATCCTCAGCTGGTGACTCATTGGCTGAACACAACCAGAAGTCAAATATCATGGAATTCTCTTGATTTCGCCTCTAGAGGCACAACACAGGGTAGAAACAAACATGGTTGGATAGAGAGTGAATCTGGGGCAGGGGAAGGAAGGGGGAGTGGAAAATATCCAGCACATATGTAATGTGGAAAGATGCACACCCTTATGACACTAACGGTTACCTTTAAAGAAAGGAGAGGGACAACAGACCATGACAGTAGGTCATCAAAGGGAATGCCTGTAATCCCAGCCACTTGGGAGGCTGCGGCAGGAGAATCGCTTGAACTGTACAGCAGAGGTTGCAGTGAGCTGAGATCATACCACTGCACTCCAGACTGGGCAACACAGCAAGACTCCATCTTAAAAAAAAAACCCTTTAAATTTGTATTTGCTATCCCATGCACTTGAATTTGTTTTTCAACATAATGTATTTATGCATTTTGTATGTAATTTTTAAAATCTCAAAGTTATCTGTGTATCTGCCTAATGTTATGTGGTATGTGCTTGGTGAGAGTGAAGAAATTATCATTTCATCATTTTAATATGAAAGCATTAAATATTATGAAATGTTTTAAACTATCACTTGATTCCTTCTCATTGGAAATATCTTTTTATTATCTTTCTTCCTTTTCAACTCATTTTTGTGCCCCTTTATTCTTACAACTAGAAATGATTAAATTTTATGTGAGGTAGTCTAGAAGTTAATGAGGTAAGGTATTCAGGGAATTCTCATTTAAGTTCCCCAGAATCATTTATTCAAACTAGCTCATCTCTAATTGCATCTCATTTAAAATTAGTGTCTACTGTTTTGGGAAATTGAGTAAATGTATTTTAAAACACATCTGACAACAGAAGAGACTTCCTACCAACCTCAGTTCAGTAGGAAACTAATTGTACATAAGTAGCATTTCCATAGAGATCTCTGTCCCAAGGAATTTTCTCTGCTAACTCCTCATCTGGGATAAGGATTAATGGCCTGTTGGAAAACAATGCCCAAGAGGTCTCAGGAAGAGCTTACAAATAACACATCCACAAAGCATTCTGATATTTTCTACTATTGTCTTCCTAACCCATGTTTTCTTCTCTTTGGAACCCTGTAACAATTGAAAACCTAAGTTGTGAAGCTAATTCTTAAATACTCATGTATACTACAGTTTATCCATCCTCTGAACGTTTGAAAAATTCAAGTGTATTCCTTCATAATTCCTTTTTATTGAAAGATATTTATCAAAAGGTGAGTAAAAAGGCACGTTTTCAAGTCCATGCATTCTTAGGGAAATTGAAATATGTGTAGATCATACTGCCACTGCCTAATATACATCTGAAAGGCAGAGAGCATTTCATTTCAGGGAGCCTTTTCTAACCTTTGGAAACAGCTGCTCAGTGGTTCTAAGAAGCAACTAGATTTCTCTTTGTAATTAATCTATCTCTCAATCTCTCACTGAAACCAAATTTAAAAACATTAAACCCATTTAAAATCATTATGATTTTAAATTTGGTTTCAGTGAGAGACTGAGAGGGAGATTTATACACTATATCTGAGAAATATTAAATGCCCAAAACAAATATGAAGCCTTCTTTCAATCAGGTGGATTTTTAGAATATATGTTCAAAATTGGATGGATTGATTTGTCTGTGTGTTTCATGCAGATTCCTAATGTCAGATAAAAATAACTTTTATTTCTTCTTATGATCTTTTACTATATAGAAAGTCTACAAGTGCAGTACATATAAAGAAAATATTGTGTATGGTAAAAATGAAGTATAAGCTACACTAGAATGAAGATGGAAGTGGAGATAAAACAGGAGACATCAACAGGAATAGGGTCTGGTACTTTATTTATCTTTTTTAAGTGAAAGCAAGTTTATTCAGAAAGTAAAGGAGTAAAAGAATGGCTGGCTACTCCATAGACAGAGCAGCCCCAAGGGCTGCTGGTTGCCCATTTTTATGGTTATTTCTTGATGATATGTTAAACAAGGGGTGGATTATTCATGCCTCCCCTTTCTAGAACATACAGGGTAGCTTCCTGATGTTACCATGGCATTTGTAAACAAATGTACTCTACCATATAGGGCAACTTCCTGACGTTGTCATGGCACTGATGGGAGTGTAGCAGCGAGGATGACCAGTGGTTACTCTCATCGCCATCTTGTTTTTGGTGGGTTTTGGCCATCTTCTTTAGAGTAATCTGTTTTATCAGCAAGGTCTTTATGACCTGTATCTTGTACTGACTTTCTGTCTCATCCTGTGACTTAGAATGCCTTAACCATCTGGGAATGCAGCCCAGTAGGTTTCAACCTCATTTTACCCAGCTGCTATTCAAGATGGAGCTGCTCTGGCTCACATGCCTCTGACATTTCCTCCCTCCCCTTTACAAGAGAACCCTTAATCCTAAGGGTTGGAGAGGGACAAAGATCCATCTCCTTCTGTAGCTTCTTCAGGCTTAAGAGGAGCAATGATATTCCTGCCTAACAATTAGAGTCTCTCGTATTTGGGGTAGAGAGGAGCTCGTCAAAAAGCATTGGTATGATGAGAGCCATTCATAACTCTGAGTTTCAACAAGAGGTGCTATCTGAAAGATTGATAAGTGTTCCATTTAAGAAAACATTCACTAAGCATATTCTGCATCCGTATGCAAAGAGTACAAATGCAATGTATTCCACAGCAGCAAAGCAAAATAAGTAAAATTATTCCAGGTAAACTAAATTTAAAGGCTTCCCATGAACTGAGCAACTGTTAAAACCAAGCTGATACAGGGTTGCCAGATGATTCCAATATGTGCCCATGATTAGAATATTGGTCCAGATTTTTACATTACCCAAACCTCTTGTATCTTCTGAGTAACAGTCTAAGATCACTGGTTGGTTCACAGGAATAAGCAGGTTTAGCCTAAATTGTAGAAACAAACTTAAAAACAACTCATGAGACTAGAATTTAATAACAAGTGTACCATACTTCTTGAAACATAATTTTTCTCACTTCAGTTTCTCATTTTTACTGAAGACAAATTATGATAAGACTGATTTACTTTATTGCACTTGGCCTGATTATTTGTATAAAGTGGAACAAGAATAATTATTTTATACATTACCAAAATTTCTTTGTCAATCACGTTTTTGCCAGTGGCTGTGGTAACGAGTTTTGTCATACACAGACAATTGTCTTGTTTTAATCCTCTTCAAAAGGTGGTTTATAGTCAGCTATACAACTCTAACGGATGTTCTTAAATGCAGGTTTCTGATAACTTTGGAAATTGTGACATTAGAATAGAGGAAACAACTTTTGCAACTCTCGTGAAGAACAGGAATGTTCATGAATATCAAACAGAACAGGAGTTAACTGCATAAACTAAACTAAAAGAATAAACTAATCTTTTTGACTTTGCTTAAAACGTTGCTAACCCTTTGTTTTGTTTTCCAGAGTTAAGAAAACTTTTACTTTGAGCTATTTACAGCCTTTAGCAATTGAGTAAAGTATACTTCTGTGGAAAAAAAAAAATGGACCATATTTGTTTCTCTCTACCTGATTTCTCCAGAATTTGGAGACTATTTGTGAGTATTCTTAACTGATGGCAATATATTTATTTGCATAAGTGCAATAAGAATCTGTTTTTTTTTTTTTGTAGCCGGACACAGTTGGAGAAATTGGTTATTTTACCAAGGCTTTGACTGGAATGGTGTGTTTTCCTTTAAGGAATGAAACTTGACTTATAGAGCCAATAAAAACCCCTTGGGGAACTGACCTTCTACCTTGCCTACACAGTCCCTATACAGGGTTTCTGGCCTGTGGTAAGTAAAGAATGTCATTTTCTAACATTCCAAGGATTCCTGCTTTATCTTGGGACCCCATGAGGAGAGGAATTTACTCAACTCATGGGTCTGGCACTTTAATAAAGTGGCTTTAAACATTTGTGATTAAGTAAATCCCCATGTAGTAAAATAGTGATGAAACATTTCTTGAAGTATAAGATCCAAAAGACAGATAAAATCCCAAAGCTAAAAGAAATAAAATACAAGAATGACATGAGAAAAAAATATGAGATCTAAGAATAGAATTACAGAGCTTAAATATACTTCAAAATTAAATCACATTGATTAGTCATTCCTAGTCTGATGTCTTCAGGGAAATGTCCAGAGAAATGGAGGAGCTCTGGGTGACCACCACTCACAGACAAAATATACTTAATAAAGTTAATAACAAAATCCCAAATAATATAAATTTAATAAAATTGCGGAAGACATACTGGAGTGAATATTGTCATTAAAGGTAGTTATAATTAGTTATAATTATGGAAGAATTCATGGAGGATCAAATCTAAAATTGCTTTTTAAAAAATTCAAGGATGGTCCCTGGTAGAAAAAATATAAAAGGTGAACATAACAATGTTAAATAAAGATAGCAGGTATCTAATAGTGAAATTATTTAATAATGTAATTTGCAATTCTCAGAATACAGGCATGCACCACATAATGACATTTTCATCAATGACTGACCATGCATGTGTTCAACAGTGGTCCCATAAGATTACAATGGAGCTAAAAAATTCCTGTTGCCTAGTGACACTGTATCCATGATAATGTTATAATGTAACACATTACTCAAGTGTTTGCAGTGATGACGGTATAATCAAACCTGCACTGCCAGTCATATAAAAGAATAACACATAAAATTGTGTGCAGTACATAATACTTGATGATGATAAATAAATATGTTACTGGTTTATATTTTTGCTATACTATACTTTTTATGATTTTTTATACTCCTACTTATTTTTAAAAAGTTAACTGTAAAACAGCCTCACACAAGTCTTTCAGCAAGTATACCAGAAGAAGATATTGTTATTATAATCATAGGAGATGACAGCTCCATGCATGTTATTGCCCCTGAAAACCTTCCAGTGGGACAAGGAGCTGGAAGACAATGATATTGATGATCCTGACCCTGTGTAGGCCTGGGCTAATGTGTGTGTTTGTGTCTTCATTTTTAACAAAAAAGTTAAAAAACTTAAAAAAATAGAAATAATTTATAGAATAAGGATATAAACAAAGAACATACTTTTGTACAGCTGTATGATGGGTTTAAGTGTTATTCAATAATCAAAAAGTTAAAGAAATTAAGAAGTTTATGAAGTAAAAATGTTACAGTTAGCTAAAATGAATTTATTATTAAACAGAGAAAAGTGTTTTTTAGTAAATTTAGTGTAGGCTATAGACAGTGTTTACAAAGTCTATAGTAGTGTACAGTAGTGGTCTAGGCCTTCACATTCCCTCACCATTCACTCACTGACTCACCCAGAGCAACTTCAAGTCCTGCAAGATCCATTTATGGTAAGTGCCCAATATAGGTATACCATTTTTTATCTTTTATACCATATTTTATTGTACCTTTTCTATTTTTATATACGCTTAATACATAAATACTTACCATTGAATTATGATTGTCCACAGTATTCAGTAAGGTAACATGCTGCACAAGTTTGTAGCCTAGGAGCAATAGGCTATATCACATAGCATAAGTGTGTACTAGGCCATACCATCTAAGTTTGTGTAAGTGCACTCTATTATATTCACACAATGACAAAATCACTTAACAATACATTTCTCAGACTATATTCCTCTTGTTAAGCTATGTATGACTGTATTTATTTTGACATCAAATTAGTTTATATCATGCCTTTATTTCATCTTTCATTTCCAATACGGATTTTCATCTGAAAAAGCACTCAGGCCAAGACATATTTCTAAATTTGATGCACTCATATAACATCTTGATTAAATCAAGGTCAAATAATGTGAAGGGGGTCACACTCATTCAGGAACAACCCTCGAGTACAGATGCTTTCTGGGGCTCTTGAAACTCTGAGTTTATAGTCTCAATATTTTATTACCTCATTTAAAGCAGCAATTACTTTTCAATCTTTAGGATGTTCTTAGTCATTAGCAGAGTATGGAAACAAATGATTAACAATATCTTAAAATATGGATAGTAAAATTTTCTTTGTCATAGCGTTTGGGGATGGATACTAAATGATTTAATGGTGTAGAAAGCATATGGGGGTGTTTGACACAGAGGGTTCACTAAGGACTAGTTGGAAAGAGTGTTATTATTGTTTTGCACACTTCCGGCGTGAGATAGCATATAATCAAAGGGCAACATTCACATGTTAGCCCTGAGGAGCTTTGTATGACACCTCACAGGATGACTTTGAAGATGTAATGAAACAGAGAATGTGGAAGCTGTGCTTTATAAACTTATAAATGTAATCTGTTACCATTAAACAACTAATTGACTGGCAGAGTTACTCAGAATGTTGTCACTGAGATGCTATCTTAACTTTTCAACCGAATATTTCTCATCCTGCAGAAAATTGTGATATTCATAAAACACATGTCACCACTAAAAGAAAAGCATATGAGCAAAAAATTAATCTTTCTCAAAATACTGCTTCACTAAACTAGTTGAGGTTGGTATATCAATGTACTTTCTAGCTGAAAAAAAAGGAAAGGTCTTGAAAATGTAAAATAATTTCAGATTTGACTGTCTCTAAGCCTAAATTGGGACATCAACTTTTGTCCTGACTGCAGTCACTCAGAACTAAAAGACATATTTGTAGTTATGTGCAATCAGTGGGTCATGACAACTATCCAAACTCTTATATTAAAGCAAGATGATAATCTCATTGAATAAAAAAATTTTTTTCAAAATGGATGTTAGCTAAAATTTAACATAAAATATCAAATGCCCAAAGGTTGAACTAAATCGTAATGAATAAAAGCCCAAGAATGCAAAATCGAATTCCTGAGCATAGGGAAACTTTGTCATTGTAGGTTAACTCTCTCAATTTATACTTGAGAAAACAGACAATAAAAGTATTTAATTTTCTTGTTCAATTTCAAATCGCTGAGATAGATTTAAATCCAAAAGTCTTCTTGCCTCCCTTGGAGATGATATGATTATTTAACTAACTAGTTGGAGCTGGACAATGCTATCTTGATGATTCTTATGACTCCAGGTTTTCTCCTCCTTTTTCTCCTACCATTGCTACCTCAATATGTTTATTCTTCTTAGCATTTCAGTAATGCCTTGCAGCACTGTTTCTGAAAATGAACCATCCTGTTCCTCAGCCCCAGGCCACATTTACTCTATCAGACACCTAAAGATAGGAAACAATAAATTTCATTCTAGCAACCTTCTCAGCTGATTTTTATGCAACTCAAAGTTTGAAAACTAT
Source organism: Homo sapiens (assembly GCF_000001405.40). Taxonomy (NCBI): domain Eukaryota; kingdom Metazoa; phylum Chordata; class Mammalia; order Primates; family Hominidae; genus Homo; species Homo sapiens. The sequence continues at coordinate 404,682 of NT_167246.2, read as the reverse complement.
ACGGTCACTTTTACTTTGTATTTAATCCTCACCTCACTCAAGAATGGTAGTTATTGTCAACCTTCTTACACAGAAGAAGAAATTCCATTTCAGAATGGTTGGGTTACTGGATTAAGATATCTGCCTTTAATTTGTAGTGTCCCATAGGAAAATAAGATCACCTGATACCAGATGTTTTATGTTATTCTGACCCCAGGTTACTGCACCCTGTCATCTATAAGTAGACAATCAATGCATCACCATGTTTTGTCGATACCCATAGCTCTACCTTCTTTGGCATATCCCTACTACAGGTGAAACAAATTGAAGATAATGCCACTAACTAATGAAAGCCACCCTGAAGAATTTATTCTGCTAGGCTTTGCAGACCGCCCTTGGCTAGAGCTTCCTCTGTTCACTAGTCTTCTTATAATGTACCCTATAGCCGTGATGGGAAACATCACAATCATTCTCATGTCCAGGTTAGACTCTCGTCTTCATAGCCCCATGTATTTCTTCCTCACCAACCTCTCCTTTTTGGACATGTGTTATACCACAAGCATTGTCCCTCAGATGCTGTTTAACCTGGGAAGCTCTAAGAAGACCATCAGCTATATGGGGTGTGCGGTTCAGCTTTATTTCTTTCACATAATGGGGGGAACAGAATGTTTGCTTTTGGCTATTATGTCCTTTGATCGCTATGTGGCCATCTGCAGACCTCTTCACTACACCCTCATCATGAATCAGCGCGTCTGTATCCTTAGTTTCCACCGTGTGGCTAATTGGAATAATCTATGCTGTCTCAGAGGCCACTGCCACATTACAATTGCCACTGTGTGGTCTCAATAAACTGGACCACTTGGTGTGTGAGATTCCTGTTCTGATAAAGATTGCCTGTGGTGAAAAGGGTTCTAACGAGCTCACACTCTCTGTGGTATGCATTTTTATGTTAGCTGTCCCACTATGCTTAATTCTTGCTTCCTATGCTAGTATTGGAAGTGCTGTATTTAAGATCAAATCTTCCAAGGGAAGGAAAAAGGCCTTTGGGACATGCTCCTCCCATCTTATTGTAGTTTTCTTATTTTATGGCCCAGCCATCAGCATGTACCTTCAGCCCCCCTCCTCCATCTCAAGGGATCAACCCAAGTTCATGGCCCTCTTCTATGGAGTGGTGACTCCCTCACTCAACCCTTTTATCTACACCCTGCGGAATAAGAATGTAAAGGGGGCATTACGCAACTTGGTGAGGAGCATTTTCAGCTTTAAGTGATAGTGGGTAGACATAAAATGAAGTTATTGAACAGTTAGAGTAGGTTGCTATGGTTTTATCTAACAAATTCTTGTCTCATAATCAAATATCGCTTTACATGTTCTTGCAAAATATGTTATGTCTCCGAGACTCTTTGTAAACATGTTCAGCAAGGATTATACTTGGCTAGTAGGCACATTATATTATGGAAATATATTAAAATAGTTCTATACTGGTTGGTACATACAGAGATAGTAACTGTGTTAAGTAGTAAAAAAATTAGTAAAATGAATTTATTAGTTCAAGCTAATTGTAAAAATAGTATAGCAACCACTCATCAATGAGCCTCCTGTCAGAGTCACCTGAGAAACATTCCATCACTCTCTGCATGTTGTCCCAAGTCTAAATGGGCAGTGTGGCTACACTGGGCATTCAATGTGAAGCACATTATACTTTGGAATAATCATGAGTCTCATAAGCTTATCAACCCCAATTTATGTAGATACTATTGCTTCTTAAAAATTCAGTGTAATTCTTTTTTAACAAATAAGTATGCAGTGATTTTGTATTTTTAATTAAATAATTTATTATTAAATTTTGAAATGAGTGGAATAGTGGGACAAAAAGTATGAAAAAGTTTCTGATACTTTCCTTTTACATACTATAATAATGAGTCTTCGAATCAGTGAGATAACAAGGAAGTGATATTAATAATGAAACACAACCTGGAAGCATTTCCGTGCACAATTTGGAACAGCCAGGAATGCCTTTTGGAACTAACTGTGTTAGAATCAGAATCAGTATGAGAAAAAAATAATTTGCATTTCTGGAACAAAAAGCAACTTGATTACCTCAACAAACAATATGTCTTTTTACTGATGTAAATGTTAAATGCAAATGATGTACAAAACCTGTATCATTAAAAGTTGGAAGTGCTAAAACTTAGTTCTAGGACTCACACCCCAAAACTTAAAACTTTGTCACGAAATTAGTTACAATTTATGAGAGCAAATGAATAGATTTTATATTTACTTGGTGTTGAATTAATATGTTGAGAGTTCAACACGGTGTTGTGTAGTGAAGAAGTAAATACTTGTAAGAAAAACAAAAGGTCATTTGGACTTTTCTGGCATAACTTCTGGTATGATCAAGATCTAAGCCAATAATTGGAAGGAAAACCTCATGTTAGTTCAAACAAGAATCAACTGCAAACCAGATACACTTGCTGAAAAATAACAGATCATCTGGTGCTGATACAGATCCTCAAATCATTGAACTTTTATATATCTAGTTTGGAAAAAAATTTAAGTAACTTTAAAAATTGGCATATTTCTGGTTGATTGCCAGAAAAATGTTTTCAAATTTTATACACATGCACACACAAACACATGACCTAATTCTGTGGTGTTAGACAATAGCTTTGATCATTTTTATTAGTTAAGGTATAGTTTGTCTAACTTAGTCTTATATACAGAAGTATATAGTAATTTCTAGTTTTGAAGGCAAAACACAGAACGATTTTTGTCAAAAGCTTTGCTATAAAAACCCATTACAGTTCATCTGACTCTCTCAAATTATCCTCCGTCCTTGGCTAATGTATATACTACCTTCAAGTCCTGTAAAAAACATTCATTTCAGAGGCATGAGTGAAATCTAGACACAGTGAAAAATCAGGATTTCCTAAGAATTATATGCAAAAATCTCAGAATAAAGAATACTCAGAACAGTGGACTGGAAAACCCACAGAAAGGTTTTATTTGGACTTTGCATTTCCAGGGAATATATACTGCTCAGTATGCTACAGCATGAAGGATACTTCAGTCAACTTTTGAAAAATTCTGTAGAAGAGAAGGGACGCATTATACTTGAAAGAGAAAGCGTGCTCTACCTTTTGTGTAAAGCATGAGCAATTCTGAGATTGCCTTTCAAGGAAAGTGATCTAAAGTTCTTATTTCCCCAAGCAAGTAGGCCTTTCCTAAATAACAAATGGAAGAAAACAAAGCATTTTAACCCTAGATTTAAAGTCACTAAAAATGTATTTGGAAAAATATTTAAGGTAGAACTCAAGAAGGTTTAACAGTGGCTTTCTCCATATTAGAGATGTCCTAAGATCTGCATAGCATAATAACTGCAAGGCAAGAAGTGCTAACATGCACCTTCAAGAATGTGCCTTTGGGATGAGTTCATGTCCTTTGCAGGGACATAGATGAAGCTGGAAACCATCATTCTGAGCAAACTATCACAAGGACAGAAAACCAAACACCACATGTTCTCACTCATAGGTGGGAATTGAACAATGAAAACACTTGGACACAGGGCGAGGAACATCACACACGGGTGCCTGTCATGGGTTGGGGGGCAGGGGGAGGGATAACACTAGGAGAAATACCTAATGTAAATGATGAGTTAATGGGTGCAACAAACCAACATGGCACATGTATACCTATGTAACAAACCTGCACTTTGTGCAAGTGTACCCTAGAACTTAAAGTATAATAAAAATAATAATAATATAGACACAGAAGCAAAAAAAAAAAAAAAAGAATGTGCCTTTGGAATGAAAAAAGAAGACTAATTAAAGTACTCAAAGAAGAATTAAAAATATTTTCAAAAGGCAAATAAAAATTGTAATATTTAATAGGAGTATATAGTAATACATCACTGGCTGAGGAAATATCATAATCATAATCAAAAAGTCATGTTAAAAAGGAGAACTCACAACTATTGAAAAGCTGCCATGAGCTAGTAAAAGTGTTAAACATATTGTATGTATGGTCTTATTTAATCTTTCAATAACCCTTTAAGGTATGTATTAGCCACATTTGATAGATAATGAAAATGTGGTTCACTAATTCTTGAGCTTGCATAGTGTACGTCAGAACTAGAATTTGAAAGCTTTCAATTACCAAAAATTCATGCTTTTTCCACCTTATAACAAACTACTTGCAAAAATGATGGAAATTTAAAATTATACATTCAAAATCATGAAGAATTCAATGTTTCCATCTGAAATTCCATGGGGCAATATGGGAGACTGAAAGGAGGATCTATGTTGAATGAGAACCAGGAACCAGAACCAAGGCTGATATTAAAGAATGTGTGTTTCTATAGGAGATGAGAACTTGAAGGATTTTAAACCCTGAGACAATGTAAGACCTTTATTTTATGACTACATTTAGCAAAGTAAAAAACCACTTGGAGTACAAAAACATAGGAAATTAGTTAAATGTACTGCAACAATCTTTGCAATAGATAATGAGGCTCTCTAGTAGGATAAGAGAAGTAAAAATGAAAAAGATGGGGGAAGTGTGAGAGATTAACATAGGAGGTTAACTTGGAAATTTTGTTAAATGTGTGTCCTCTGGGAAAGAGATGAGCCAAAGACAGTGGTGATGATGTTTTAAGTCTGCAGGATTGAGCAGAAGGTGTAGATTATTTCAACGACTTTAATATCAAGGAAAGTAGTTTTTGAAACAGAAGTTAAAAGGACTCTAGAAAAACTGAAGTCAAATTCCGCGGAAGATGTTACTAATTATCTACAAGAAGAAATAGACATCAGTTGGCCGGGAGCAGTGGCCCACGCCTATAATCCCAGAATTTTTGGAGGCCAAAATGAGCAGACCACCTGAGGTCAGGAGTTCAAGACCAGCTTGGCCAACATGGTGAAACCCCATCTCTACTAAAATTATAAAAATTAGCCAGGTGTGTTGGCATGTGCCTGTGGTCCCAGCTACTTGAGAGGCTAAGGCACAAGAATGGTTTCAACCTGGGAGGCACAGGTTAAAGTGAGTGGAGATTGTGCCACTGCACTCCAGCCTGGGCAACAGAGTGAGACTCCCATCTCAAAAAAAAAAAAAAAAAAAAAAGACATTACTTGCAAAAAGAGAATTAATTGTTATCAAAAATTTTATTTATAAAGGATAAATCTAAATGAAATTTTAGCATTTCTTTTTTGGAGACATTAAAGATATCCAACAATTTAACATGATGTTATATTAAGATAAAGGGTTTATGCATACCATACTTAGTATGATATATAATATACATTTTAACAAGAATTAATATTGGGAAGTGGACAACAGTAGTTTCTGCAGACACTTCTAAGTCTTAGAGTCTGTAATCCCCTTTCCCCAGAAAAACTCTTCAAAGTAAAATAATAGTATTTATAAGAAACACTGATAAGTGTCCAACTTAAGGTTGTTTTAATATATGTGATATGTGATATGCTGTCTGCATTAGGATAGTGAGGAGGCAGGGCTCAGTGGGCAATAGAGAGGATTCAAATGTTTTTGCAGAGAAACTGCTTTAAAATTTGCTTCTGGAATTTCTCCCCTTGCTATGATTCCAATATCCTTCCACTGAGCAAACAGTAGAGTTAACTGCACCATGGGGACATCATCTTCTTCTATCTCAGGGGATTCATTATCTCAGATCTCAAATTCTTAAGTGCAGCAAATCCTCTAATCATTTCTTTCTTGAATCCATAGAAGCTATTTTGCTAGAAAGAGTACCAACTAATGACTGAATCTGAATTCACTATGTGACTCTTAGGCAAATGGGCACATCTGACAAGTCACATTATAAGGCTATTAATAAGTAATTTTGACTGGTCATCTATGTACATCAATAGCTTTGTTAGTATATAGGTATTATGTGGCTTTTCTATATGAACTAAGGAATATGTTAACATAAATTATTTTCTGATTAATACGTTCAATTTGCATGAGCACAATTCTTAGTATGAACATTATATCATATTATAATTAAGACTGTATTTTAAAATTCATAATTGGCAAGAAATGGCCAGGTTGTCTTTTCTATTTGAGAAAACTATCTGAAAAAAATGTCTTTAGATTTTTAAATGACAGTCGGTATACCAAGTACTTTAACAAACATCTCACTTGAAACAAAGATTTTATGGCTGAAGGAAAAAATTTGAGATGCATTCCTTTTAAAATATTTATAATAAAGGACTGACACATGGTCTATTGTCTGTGAAACTCCTGTGAATAGTTCTATCTATGCATTTAACTATGCCTTTAACATAAAGTTGCTACTAAATTATTCATTGTTTTAATTACTATCTAAAAAATCTGAAAATGGAACATGATAAAATGCTTTTGAACTCATTATTTGGCTGTAGTCAATTGTCAGCTATTATTAGCAGTAATTTATAACCTGATTTTTTATGATCCTATTCCAAAATGGTTCTATTGGTGAAAATGGCATAAACTTTTGTTCTATCGCTTTTGTTTTGCATTAACTGTGAAAATTAAACATCAAATATTGTCTTCTCTTTTCCACTGTCCTTCTGCCTAAAATATGTTTTCCTTTCTTTCTGGCTAAAATGTTGCAGGACCATTTTATTTTACTTTATTTAGTTCCATTTTCCTTTTAGTTCACATATAATTGTACATGCTTATGAGATATGATGTTTTGATATAGATATACAATGTATAGAGACCAAATTAGGGTAATTAGCATATTCATCTCCTTGAACATTTATCAATTCTTTGTGACGAGATCATTCAAAATCCTCTTTTCTACCTATTTTGAAATATACGGTATATTATTGTTAACAACAGTCACGCTATGGTACAGTGAAACACTACAACTTATTCATGCTAACTCTAACTTTGTACCTATTGATCATACTCTCCTCATTCCCCTCTTCACCCTACCCTATCCAGCTCCTCTAGTAACCACTCTTCTACTCTCTACTTCCATGAGATCAACTTTTTTAGGTAATAGGACCATTTTAAATAGGCATATTATACTTTGCTACTATTAACCTAGAAGCCGGAGTAGAGACTTTATCTTTTAGTAGTGTAATGAAGTCATGAATAAAAATTCAGTATAGTTCATTGCACTAGTTGATTTAGAAAGTTCTGGGATGTATTTTGGCTAAGGGGAAAACTGAAGTACCACTTGATCCCAATACATCTCTCAATTTTCCCCATGATTCACATTCAATTACTCCTGATATGAGATCACTTTCCCTGCCTCAGGGCTTATTACTAACCTGTGCTGTTGCTGATACCAAGACACTCAGAGAGTTGCATTCTCCCTCATCCCCTGAAGAGTTTCCATTTACGTGATCTGTAAGTGTCTGTGTGTGAAGGGGTTGAGGAAGCGGTGTTAACCTTCGCCAGGGAGATCCCCCTGTCAGCTAACACCTTTATGGGGGGCATTCAGTCTCTTGTAGCTAGGATCCCAGAGGTCCATGACAAGAGTGAGCATTCCCTCAGTTCCCTCATTCGCCAATTTCCCAGAAGCCATCCCAACAGCAGGGTCCCCAGCTTTCTGTCTCTACAGCCTCAGCTTTAGCTTTGCCTCTTCACGCTCAGCATTTTCTTTCCTAAGATCTGTCCAATTTATGTTGATTTACTCGATAATTTGGTCTCTCTCAGTGAAAGCGGTGCTTCCTGGCTGCATCTAGTTGGACATCTTGTTCCTTCCCATCTGTGTAATACATTTTTCATACATGCTTTATTTTGACATAATTTTAGCTTTACAGAAAAGTTGCAAAGATGGCATGGAGAATTCCCAAATACCCCTTACCCAGTTTCACTTTCCCTTAATGTTACATTTCTCTGGTTTATTTTTCAAAATTAGGAAACTAACATTGGTATGTTACTATCACTGAAACTCCAGACTATCTTTGGATTTCAGCAGGATTTTCTTTAATGTTCTTTTTTTGTTGCAAAATTCAATCCAGAACACCCCATTGCATTTAGTTGTCATGTTTCAGTTTCCTGAATCTGTTTCCTTGTTTTTCTTGATATTGATAATTTTGAGTACTGCTCAGGTATGTTATAAAATGCACTTCAATCATGGTTTGTCCGATGTTTTCTCATGATTATGTTATGGGATCCTTGGGGTATCACTTCACCAGCGAAAACCTCTGTCCCTAGTGGCACCTATGCCCAAGTTTTCCTCAGGCCCACTGGCCCACTCAGCCTAGCAGGCTGTGCTCAGCTCACAATACCAGCCTGGATCCCATACCTGCCAAGGGCAAGCAGAGCAGCGAGGCGTGTATGAGCGAGAAAGTGTGGGGTCCACCTACTGCACACAGCCAGGCATGCTTGCTGTGGCAGGGCAGGCAGTTCCAGGCACCAACACAGGCACCAGCTCCCTGCAAGGCTGCAGCTGGAGCAGGTGTACTGCAAGCAGCTTCCATGGCTGATGCTGCAGAATGCAGTGGTGCCCAGAAGCTAAGAGACACCAGGAACCACAGAGCCAAAGAGGCTGTCACAGCCCTGACTCAGGGAGCTCTTAGGTCTGGGCTCCCCGAAGGGCAGCAGTTCTTCACTCCTTTTTGTCGCCTGCAATGTGGTGAGTGAGGAAAGGGTATGTTTTAGCCCTGTTTGTGTGACTGCTCTTTCAGCCATGCCATTCGGTGGGTCCCAAGTTCTTGTCCTGCACCCAGGAAGAATGAGATATGCAGAAAGTGGAGGGTGAGTTAGGTGAAAAGGAGCTTTTCTGAGCAACAGAACAGCTCAGAGGAGACACATAGAGGGTAGCTCCTCTCCACAGCCAGGGTGTCCTGACCAGTGTTCAACTCTCAGCAGAGAGGAGACCCTGAGGTGGATAGCTCCTTTCACAGCTGGCCGTACCATTGCCTTTTCAGCTCTCAGCAGAGAGGAGACCCTAGGGTGGGTACCTCCTCTCTGCAGCTGGTTGTCTTGTCATCTTTTTCAATCTGGCTGAGTCCGGGAGTTTTTATGGGCTTCAGAGTAGAGGAAGTAGGTGCTGATTGGCCCTTGGGCAACCATGTGCAGGCCCAGAAAAAGCATCATAAATTCCCACTCCAGTCTGCGAGGCTGGCAGCCCGGCTCTCAGGCTTCAAGCCTTCCCTGGGTTGAAGGTGGGGCCTCACTGGGGACCCATCCCTCTCTGTCCAGGAGCCTGTCTGCCTCCTGCCACTGTTCATGGCACCCAGGCTGTTCCTGCCGAGGGTCACCTGCAGGCCAGGGCCAAGCTGCCTTCAGCACCTCCCCAGCCTCCCTTCCTTGCTTACTGGTGCCCAAAGTCCAGAGCGGGGCTCAGGCAGCAGGATGCTGGTGTGTCAGCAATGCCCCAAGCATGCACACACCAGGCCAGGTTGCAAAAGCCCCAGGGCTCAGCCTCAACTCCGCTCCGAGATCAGAGCTGGTGCCAGGAGCAGGCAGAGGCCAGGCAGCAGGAGCAGGCACCTCCGAGTCTGCACGGGGGCAAGGGTTCTTTCCCGGGTCCCCAAAAGTGTGGAGATGCCCAGATCCACAGCCACAGCTTGCGCACCTGCAACTGCACCCAGAAGGGCAGGGCTCCTGGCACCCAAGAGAACAGGGATGCCCAGGTTTGTAGCCACATCTTGAGCAGCTGCAGCTGCACCCGGGAGGGTGAGGTTTCTGCCTGCTCCCGGACCCCAAGAGCACAGGGATACCCGGGTCTGCAGCCACAGCTGGGCAGCTGCAACTGAGCCTGGGGAGCACAAGGCACCTGCCTGCCAACTCATAAGGGGTGGGGGCTTTTGCCTGTTCCCAGCTCCTTCGGGCTCCATCGAGTGCACAGCCCCACCCGCACCTCTCCCACTGCAGCCAACGTCATGGCAGCAGCCACTGCACACAGGCCACAGCTGCCATCAATTACACTGGGCCTTTGAATTTTTGAAGAGGTGACCACAGAGGTAAAGTGCCCTTTTTATCCCATCAGAGCAGGGGTTACATAATATCTACATGGCATTACTGATGGTGCTGACTTTAATCACTTGCTTAAGGTAGTGTTTGCACTAAATAAAACTTAAACTTACAATTGTTACCTTTCCATACTCTATTCCTTGGAAGACAGTCACTGAATCCAGCCTATACTTAATGAAGGAGATCACGAGCTCCACCCCCAAAAGTGGAGACTATTAATAGATCAGTAAGGAAGATTTCTCTCTTCTTCTCCATTTATGTATTTATTCAATCATTTAACAGTATGGACTCATACTTTTTATACTTCAGATTATAATCCAGTGATATGTTATTTATTTTGTTGTTGAAATTGTTCCAGCTTTCCCCATTGAGAGCTCTTTCATGCTGGCTGCTGGGTCTTGGACAGGTCTTCATCCTTTTGCTATCCTTTTCTCTTCAAGGCCCCTCCTTGATTTCTGGTATTACTGGTCCTTCTCCTCCAGGCTTATCTTATATATTTTTTCACCAGCCTTAGAAATATCTTAGAATCAGACATTTCCCCAAGGATCTCTGGTTCTTTTCACTGGACATGGCAGACATGCACACACTGCTGTGAGGGTAACTTTGTTTCTAGATTATTTCAGCAGAAAGGGCTAGGTAATGTGTGTTCACACAGTAAGCCCTGAATACACACATATCTGTCATTGCTTCTATATTTGTCCATCTATGTGTGTGTCCGTGTGTATTCGTGCTTGTGTTTAAACATGATGTCACAGTGTAACTCTGACTCTAGCACAGTCCCTCATGATCATTCTGGCCTTCCTTTCTTGTTTACCTATAACTTCTCATACCAACAGTGAGAAACCTGGATGCCACTGTTCATCTTTTAACATTTTTGTTCAACACTAGTATGCTTGTGAAGCAATTACAAAATTAGCTGTACCCACATGAGAAAAAAATTACCATTTAGAATACAGTACTTATGCACAGTTACTTTTCTCTTTAGCCTGACATTTTTTAATCAAAATATTATTTCTCAAAATAACCAAAGTCAGTATTTACTTCTTCTCTACCCTTTTCAGGGTCGTTAGCTTACACATTTATATAACGTGAGATTGATTTGTCACTGTCTGCATACCATTCTAGGATCTTCCTGCATCTTGGTGAAACTTTTGCTTGTTTATTTGCATGCATTTGAGTGCAATTTTGTGATACACTTCTTGGGGATTAATAAATCATAGACTTGCATATTACTAGTGCAGCACCATACAAGACAACTCTATCATTTAAAATGTCCCCTGCGTGTATTCTTTGTAATCAACTAATCTCCCCTACACTAAGCCCTGGATAACACTGGTGTGTTTCCATCCCAACAGGTTTTCTTTTTCCAGATGTCTTATGAATGAACTCATACAATATTCAGACTTTGAAGTCTGGCTTCATTCATTTAGTGAAATACACTTAACAAATATTCATGTTGTTGCATGTATCAGTAGCTCATTCCATCCCTTTGATCAATAGTATTCATTCATCAATCAATTTCCACAAAATCATAGATCATTGTATGGAAATACCCAAGATTATTTTTCCCCTATTGAAGGGCATGGGTTGCTTACAGTTTTGAGTAATTATGAATAACACTGATATAAATACTTGCATGCAAATTTTTACATGGACATAAGATTTAATTCACTGGTGTAAATACTTAGGAATGTGATTGTTAAGTCATATGGCAAGACTATATTAAACTTTATAAAAATTGCCAAATGGTCAAATTAGTTGCACCACTTTGCATTTCTTCCAGCAATCAAAGAGAGTTTCCCTCACTTTGCATTCTTGCTAGCATAAATTTTCAGTGCTTTTGTTTTAGTGACAAAGGAATTTGTGAGAATTTATTTTCAATCTTGTTACATGAGTACTTTCATAATACTTCAATTTTGTATCTCAATTTACAAAGCCTTAATATTGACTATGAAGATTTTTATAGGAAAAAATACTGGCATCTGGACTTTCATATAGATTTTCTTAAATCAGTGAGATTTTCTTCAGTCAACTTAATTGTAAATCAATTATTACAAGCTTTTTTAAATATGGGAAATCATGTCTTTGATAAGAACAGGTCAGTTTTTTCATTTTTTCTCTAAGAATTTTGTTTTTTTTTTCTGTATCTATCACTTAATGTGTATTTGAAAACTTTCTAATTAACTTTTTCTAATACAGATAATCCATGAAACTATTCCATTTTCTCAATACAGTTTAGAAATTACTTAAACATTTGGCTAAATGTTCTGAACCTTACTTACTTTCAAGCTACATTTTCGTGCTAGAAAAATGCTTAATTCATGCTGAATATGTTCAGTGTGATTTTTAAAGGCTTCACGATTCAATGTTTTTCATATAACCTAATTTATATTTTATTTCTCTGTCCGTGAAGAGTCTTTTAAGAGGCCAGGCACGGTGGCTTATGCCTGTAATCCCAGCACTTTGGGAGGCCAAATTGGGAGGATTACTTGAGGTCAGGAATTCGAGACCAGCCTTGGCAACATGGTGAAACCCTGTCTCTACTAAAAATACAAAAGTTAGCCAGAAGTGGTGGTGCATGCCTGTAATCCCAGCTACTCAGGATGCTGAGGTAGGAGAACCACTTGAAACCGGGAGATGGGGGTTGCAGTAGTCGAGATGGCACCACTGCACTCCATCCTGGGCAACAGAGCAAGACTCCGTCTCAAAAAAGAAAAAAAAAAGCGTTTTAAGAAGCATAAACAAATTTCCTCCAACCCCCTTTGACTGAACATTGATCGATACTCATTCTGATTTGATCTAGTTCTAAGTCCCAACATCCATTTTATCTTCTCCAAGTATAGTAGTGAATATTCATCAATTGTTCACTCAAATATTTGGTTTGATTTCTTATCATTTAGCACTTAATCCAAGGATATAAATATCTTTTTGCCCAGTGGTAAACTTGTCATCCAATCCTTAGGCTTATTTTGCAAACAGGTTAGGTTTTCCTCAAGATTGAAATGCTCATCCAAACCCTATTTTATTGCTGTCTTAAGTGGGGTTTTTCTCTTTTGACATAGTTTTAAGGTCATTTTGGCATCAGGTTCTCACTATTTAAAAGACTTCATTCAACACATCTTCCAGTGACTCAACCCATATTCTAAACCTAGCCATGAATGTAATACATTCTGAAGTTTTTTGTTTTGTTTTGTTTTGTTTTGTTTTCTTAGACGGAGTCTCGCTCTGTCACCCAGGCTGGAGTGCAGTGATGCAATCTCGGCTCACTGCAACCTCTGCCTCCCAGGTTCAAGCGATTCTCCTGCCTCAGCCTGCCGAGTAGCTGGGACTACAGGCACCCCCCACCACGCCCGGCTAATTTTTTCTATTTTTAGTAGAGACGGGGTTTCACCGTGTTAGCCAGGATGGTCTTGAACTCCTGACCTTGTGATCCACCTGTCTCGGCCTCCCAAAGTGCTGGGATTACAAACATGAGCCACTGCACCTGGCCCCATTCTGAACTTTAAGATGTTCTTTTTTTTTCCAAAGATCACATATAAATGGCCAATAAACATATGAACAAATGTTAATCATAAGAGAATTGCAAGTTAAAACCACAATGAGATATTACCTTATGCCATTCAAAATGGCCATGATTAAAAAAATCAAGACAAAAAAAAAAAAAACAAATTTTGCCAAGGGTATAGAGAAAAAAAGAATACATACACTGTTGGTGGGAATGTAAATTAGTACAAGCCCTGTGGAAAACAGTATGGAGACTTTTCAAAGAACTAAAAATGGAACTACCATTTGACCCAGCAATCCCATTATTGGATATCAACCTAAAGGTAAATCATTATATCAGAAAGAAACCTGCATGTCTATGTATATCGCAGCACTATTCACAATAGCAAAGTAATAGAATCAACCTGAGTGTCCATCAATGGACTATTGGATTTCTAAAATGTGATACTACTTCCCCATAAAAAGACTGAAGTCATGTCTTTTATAACAACTTGGATGGAACTGGAGGCCATTGGCTTAAGTGAAATAACTCAAAAACAGAAAGCCAAATGCTAGATATTATCAATTATAAGTGGGAGCTAAACAATGGGTACATGTGGATACAGAATGAAATAATGACATTGGAGACTCCAAAAGGTGGGAAGTTGGGAAAGGGTTGAGGGATGAAAGACTACCTATTGAGGACAATGTATCCTATTTGGATGATGGATACACTGAAATCTCAGACTTCACTATGTAAATATATCCATGGAACACAACTGCACTTCTATACCCTAAATCTGTTAAAATTTGCATTTTTCAAAAACATTTTCTTTATTTTTTTCAAAGCATCTATTTTGAACTCAAATTTCCTATACACTTAGAGGATTTGATGCCTTGTTCTCAGGGCAGGACTCCATGAAAAATAATTTACCTTTTCATACACTTTTTTTTTTTTTCAAGAGGCAAAGTTTTGCTCTTGTTGCCCAGGCTGGAGTGCAATTGCACTATCTCGGCTCACTGCAACTTCTGCCTCCAAGTTCAAGCGATTCTCCTGCCTCACCTCCCAAGTAGCTGGGATTACAGGAACACACCCCCAAGCCCGGCTAATTTTTTGTATTTTTAGTAAAGATGGGGTTTCACCGTGTTGGCCAGGCTGGTCTCAAACTCCTGACCTCAGGTGATCCACCCGCCTCTGCCTCCCAAAGTTCTGGGATTACAGGCATGAGCCAGCACGCCAAACTCATATTCTTTTTTAATCAGCCTAATTTATTAAAACATTACATTTGTCTTCAACTACAGAAGAAACTTCTCTGGTAAACTCTTTTTTTTCTCTCTACATAAAGTGGGCTTTTATAATTACAAAATCCAAATAGAGCCGCACTTACCACCATCCCCCATGTTAAGCCATAGAACTCTGATGTGAGTCTCATGTCTCCTTGCAACATTGACGTGGCCTCAATCAGCTTCTCCAGGACCTCTATAAAGTAACACCTCATAGCAGTAAGCAGGTCCTCCATAGCACCAGATCTGCCTTTGGTTGCCAAGACACTATGATTCTACAACAAACTGCAGAGAACACTAGCAGTGTTCTGCTTGGAACCTAAATCTGCACCTAGCAACCAGGACAGCACATCAGTGGGATGCCAATGTGGGAGGATAGATGGGGCTTTCTAAACATTTTCACTATTAGCACATGAAAAATGGGAAACTACAAGGCTCTTGTTGATCCAGGAAGACTGGCCACAGAGACTGTATTCCTTCTAGGCACTGACAAGCAACCCTAAAGTATGAGAGAATTAATGTCATTTCATACATGTGCAATTCAGGAATTACTAGGAACGTGGCAGTAAAGAACTTACATGCCCATATCAATAGTCAAAGTCCTCTTAATGTAAACGTGTCTTTCTGAGGTTCTGCTAGACCTAATACTATTTAAAAATTCAAAGGTTCCTCACCTCAGTATCCAATCTTGTTTTGTTTTGGGTTAGATGAGGGGGATAAGCATGAGAGAGTTGAATTATTGTCATTAAGTTATCGATTTAACTTTCAAATGTAAAAACTCATGAAGGTTGAAGGTAATTTGGGGTTTAGGTTTTTTTAACTTTTATTTTAGGTTCATGGGTATATGTGCAGGTTTGTTATACAGGTAAACTGCGCATCACAGGGGTTTGGAGTACAGATAATTTCATCATCCAGGTAATAAGCATAGTACTCAATAGGTATTTTTTCTGATCTTCTTCCTCCTCCCACCCTCCACCGTCAAGTAGACCCCAGTGCATGTGGTTCACCTTCTAGTATCCATGTGTTCTTATGTTTAGCTCCCACTTATAAGTGAGAACATGTGGTATTTGGCTCTTTTCCATTTAGTTTGCTTAGGATGATGGCCTGCAGCTCCATCCATGGTGCTGCAAAGGAAATGACCTCATTCTTTTTATGACTGCATAGTATTCCATGGGGTCTATGTACCACATTTTCTTTACCCAATCTACTGTTGATGGGCATTTAGGTTGATTTCATGTATTTGCTGTTGTGAACAGTGCTGCAATGAACATACTCGTGCATATGTCTTTATGGTAGAATGATTTATATTCCTTTGGGTATATACCCGCTAATGGGATTGCTTGGTGGAAGAGTAGTTCTGTTTTAAGTTCTTGGAGGAATCATTACACCATTTTCCACAATAGCTAAGGTAATTTACATTCCCACCAGCAGTGTATAAGCATTCCCTTTTCTCCATAGCCTTGATGTATCTGTTATTAATAATTTGACTTTTTGATAATAGCCATTCCACCTGGTACGAGATGGTATCTCATTGCGGTTTTGATTTGCATTTCTCTAATGATTAATGATATTGAGCATTTTTTCATATGCTTGGCCGCATGTGTATCTTCTTTTGGAAAGTGTCTGTTTATGTCTTTTGCTGACTTTTAAACGGCATTGTTTCTTTCTTATAAATTTGTTTAAGTTCTTTCTAGATGCCAGATATTAGACCTTTGTCAAATGCATTGTATGCAGATATTTTCTCTCATTTTGTAGACTGTCTGTTTCCACTGTTGATAGTTTCTTTTACTGTGAGAAGTTCTTTAGTTTAAATAGGCCTCATTTGTCAATTTTTGTTTTTGTTGCAATTGCTTTTGGCATCTTCGGCATGAAATCTTGGCCAAGTCCTATGTCCAGAATGATATTTCCTAGGTTATCTTCAGAGTTTTTATATTAACAGTTTTCATTTTTACATTTAAGTCTTTAATTCATCTTGAGTTGATTTTTGTATGTGGTGCAAGTTTGGCATCCAGTCTCAATCTTCTGCATGGAGCTAGTCACTTATCTCAGCACCCTTTATAAAATGGGGAGTCCTTTCCCCATTGCTTGTTTTTGTCAGCTTTGTTGAAGATCAGATATTTGTAGATGTGTGGCATTATTTCTGGGTTCTCTATTCTATTCCATTGGTGTATATATCTGTTTTTGTACCGGTATCATGCTGTTCTGGATACTGTAGCCCTCTGGTATCATTTGAGTAAGGTGATGCCTCTAACTTTGTTCTTTTTTCTTAGGATTGCCTTGGCTATTAGGGCTCTTTTTTAATTCCATACAAATTCTAAAATAGTTTTTTTCTAATGCTGTGAACAATGTCATTGGTAGTTTGATAGCAAATTGCATTGAATCTATAAATTGCTTTGGACGGTATGGTCATTGTAATGATACTGATTCTTAGTATCCATCAGCATGGGATGTTTTTTCCATTTCCTTGTGTCACTTCTGATTTCTTTTAGCAGTGTTTTGTAATTGTCATTGTAGAGATGTTTTACCTTTTAGGTTAGCAGTATTTCTAGGTATTTTATTCTTTTTGTGGCAGTTGTGAATGGGATTGCATTCCTGATTTAGGCCTCAGCTTAGATGTTGTTGATGTATGGGAATGCTAAATTTTTGTACATTTATTTTATATCCTGAAACTTATCTAAAGTTGTTTATCAGATCAAGGAGCTTTTGGACCAAGATTATGGGGTTTTCTTTATACAGAATCATGTCTTTTGCTACCAAGAATAGTTTAACTTCTTCTCTTTCTATTTGGATGCCTTTCATTTCTTTCTCTTGCCTGATTGCTCTGGCCAGGACTTCCAGTACTATGTTGAATAGGAGTGGTGAGAGAGGGCATCCATGTCTTGTGCCAGTTTTCAAGGGGAATGCTTCCAGCTTTTGCCCATTCAGTATGATGTTGGCTGTGGGTTTTTTACAGATTGCTCTTATTGTTTTGAAGTATGTTCCTTCAATGCCTAGTTAATTGAGGGTTTTTAACATGAAGGGATGTTGAATTTTATTGAAAGCCTTTTCTGCGTGTATTGAGATAATCATGTGGTTTTTGTTTTCATTTCTGTTTATGTGATGAATCACATGTATTGATTTGCATATGTTGAACCAACCTTTCCTATCAGGGATAAAGCCTACTTGATCATCGTGGGCTTTATCCCTGGGACACAAGGGATCATGGTAGGCTTTTTCCCTGGGATGCAAATGATCACACCCTAATCTGTGGAGCCTGTGATTATACGTTACTTTACATGGCAAAAGGACTTTATAGATGTGATGAAATTCAGAATCTTGAGATGGGGATATTATCCTGGATTAGGCAAGTGAGCTGACACAATCACACGTGTCCATATAAGAGGGAGGCCAGAAGTCAAAGGGAAGATACTCCACTGCTGACTTTAAATATAGAGGAATGGGCCATGAGCCAAGGAATGTAGGTTACCTCTAGACGATAGAAAAGGTGAGGAAACAGCTATTTCATCAAAAAGCTAAGAAATTAGGTTTTTATGTGCTGTTCGATTTGGTTTGCTAGTATTTTGTTGAGGAGAATCAAGATAATTTGAAAGATTTTCAAATTTCAAGGATTTACACTCCTGCCAAATGACTCCCCAAACCCATAGCCAGTCACTGTTCTTCACCATTGCCTCACTCTCAAGCACAATACAAAAACTTTCCATTTCCTGAGTGGGTAAAGAAATGTGATGTTATAACTAAATAAATATTTGTCAACAATATTACCATGCCTTGGTGTTATCTATTCCATGCATTTCTAGTGAATTGTTCATTAGGAAACCCCAGTACTTTATTCAAAGTTTTTGTCATTTGACCTAAGATAAACAAAGTTATCTATTCCTCCCAAAGAAAAGTGTCAGATATGTTAAGATCGTCTCAGTTTGCCAACAGTAAGAAATTCTTTTTTTTTTTTTTGAGACGGAGTCTCGCTCTGTTGCCCAGGCTGGAGTGCAGTGGCACCAAGCTCCGCCTCCCGGGTTCACACCATTCTCCTGCCTTAGCCTCCCGAGTAGCTGGGACTACAGGCGCCCGCCAACACGCCCAGCTAATTTTTTTGTATTTTTAATAGAGATGGGGTTTCACCGTGTTAGCCAGGATGGTGTGGACCTCCTGACCTTGTGATCTGCCCATCTTGGCCTTAAGAAGTATGGAGACATATAAAAAAGATATATGAGCCAACTGGAAGGGGTCCTCTCTAGCCAAAACAGTGACCATTTCAGCATCAAAATAATGACAGAATGAAATAATAATGCATAAGACCATATTATGATATATAGGTAGACACATAGATAAATAATACCTGATACCCACACGTACACACACACACACACACAGGAAAAAGGAAAGCTATTCCTTCATATAGAATGCCAACTCTATTAGTTTTCCATTGTTGCTATAACAAATTACTACAAATTTGGTGTTTAAAATAACAAAAATATCATGTATCTGGAGATAGGAATACTAAATTGGGTCTACAGGGCTGCATTTCTTCTGTAGGCTTTCAGAGAGAATCTGTTTTCTCAACTACTCCAGCTTCTAGAAGCAACCTGTTTTCCTTGGCTCATGGCCCATTCCTGTTTCTTTAAAGTCAGCAGCAGACTATCTTCTCTCTGACCTCTGGCCTCCCTCTTATATGAACACATATGACTATGTCAGCCCACCTGGCTAATTCAGGATAATAATCCCAACTCAAGGTTCTGAATTTAATCACATCTATAAAAATCCTTTTGCCATGTAAAGTAACATATAATAACAAGTCCCAGAGGTTAGGGTGTGATCATTTGCGACAAGGAGAGGAAGTATTTAGCCTACCACACAAACTAATAAGTTTAGAAGGAATGATGGAACTTTAAGAATCATTATTTGGAAACCACTATAGTAATAATAGTAAAAATTAGTAATAATGGTAATAAAAAATAACGACTGGCCTACATATGGCAGATACTGCCCAGTGGTCTAGGAGAATGACATTGTCGCTGATGTTCTTCATGCACCAATGGCCTGTTAAAGGTACAGTGGCCCAAAACACTTCTCAGCCATTGGTTGAGCCTTGAGGAATTTACAACCTTATGTGAATAAGCATAATTGCTGCAAATATGAAATGTTTGGTTGAGGTATAAGTGACACATTTTAACCTTGAAGGAAAAGTTCTTGTGAACATCCTCAGGACAGTAAGAGAGTAAGATAAATTCAGTGTGGTTCAAATATTAGGTGTTAAAACAAAGAATAGGAGAAAATGAAGACCTTCCCATGACAAGTTGCAAAGAGCCAAGAAATGTACATACTGAATCCTCACCTTCTTGTTTTAAAGAGTTCAGATGTCTATAGGGAGGAACAATTGCCTAGTGATTAAGAACAAACTGTGAAGTTAGAAAGCCCACATTTGAATCCAAGCTTCATCACTTACTAGCTCTGTTGTGGTCAGTTTTCTCATGCAGACAATAGAGACTATGATATTACTGTTGCCTCCCAATAGTTATCCCATCTCACCTACACTGTGTAGCATGTGCTTTGGATGAAATTAACCCCACCCCCAGTGCAGGAGCAAGAGTGACTTTATTTTAAATGCTAATCTGCCGTGTAACTTCTGAATAACCCTGAGTCCCTATAAGATGTTAAGTTGATATATTACTCTTTATGTAGGAACATGTATTCACTGTAAGTTTCCTCCAAAACAACCCTTGACGCTGTTGTAGGAAGCATAGTCCATGGCACCTGTAGCTACCTACATGTTTCTTTCAGAGCAAGTATACTTTCCTCAAAAGATAAGCCCTAGATCTGGAGGACTGCAGTGCAAAATCTAACTATGTTGTGGCCACCCAAGACAACATATATGTCTGTAAATTCCTTTAGTAAATCACCCCAAACCAACAAGCTAGATTTGTCTGCCTCCTTCTTTGATTTATCTGCTCTTTGTGCATTTGAGAGATGGCTTTGCATATATGGCCCTTTCACTGAAAACCTGGCTTCAGAAGTGGCCCCCAATTAATCTCAGCCAATCATTGCATTTTCGCCCCTTGTCCCAAACATGTTGCCAGGAATGTGCAGACAACTTATGCGTCAGTATGAAGCTCTGTATAAAGAGCCATTTTTGTTCATTGATTATAGGATGATATTCAACCTCTTGAATGTGAACAAGGAAGCATATAGGCCTGATTATTGCTGACAATGTTTCGTGATTGTGAGGGGAATCAACTTGATGACAAATCCAATACATGGAAGAGGACATAGCTGAGGAAACTGCAGAGATATTGATCCAGAGCACTGATCAAGCTATACCTGAAGCCCACACTACTGCTGAACTTTTTGGTTTTATAAGCAATAAATCCCCCTTATTTGTTAAAAACAATTATTTTGTTAAAGTAAATGGCCGGCCTGCACTCTTCAAAACTATAAGGTGCATTGAAGAGACAGACAGACTGAGGAATGGTTCCCAATTAAAGAGAAAAAAGAGACATCACACTGCCACCTTATGATCCTGGATTAGATACTTTTTTAGGAAATATTCTTGTGACAACCTAGGGGAACATGTGCATTACAGCGTAATAGTTTAGAAAAAAAATTTAAATGCATATTAACATTAGTATAAAGTGAGAATGATAAACCATACATGTTGAAATGCTAAGATTTTTTAAATCTGGTGAAGCTCAATGGTAAGTCTTTCTACTATTTTTATAACTTTTCCATGAGTTTTTTTGTGATTGTTGGATGATACTTGGTATATAATCACTTGTATTTGAAACTTATGTTTGAAATCATGTAGTGTTTTCATAATATATGATCACTAATCACCTTTCCAGCCTCACATATGTAAAATAGGAGATATGAACCTGAGCTACATAGCAGAATACAGACGGAGTGTACCTAGGCTGGAAGCCAGAGCTACTTTCTGTGATTACCTGGATGACATATTTGTGCCAACAATTCTGTACTGCAGAGTTAAAATAAGAAAAGATAATTGAGTATGTATATAAGAATATGCTGCACAGCAACAAGTATAAGATACAGTGGACAAAGACTGGGAGACATCTGTCTGAATGGGGAGGAGAAATTTACAGGGCAAAAGAAGCTGATGCTTCCATGAGGTTAGCCTTCATTCCTATCTGGGAAAAAGCTGGCTTCACTGTTAGTTCTTCAGTAAAGTTGCTTGCCATACAAATTCATGTGTGCTTTGGAAATCCCAGTTCACAAATGTTTTCATAAGGTTTAGGGCTGACAAGGGGAGCATCTCAGGGCTTCTATTTTGCCTTCAGTGTTGTTGACATAGGAATGGGTTGTCAGAGCTAAAAATGTATTGTCCTTACCCTGATTTTTTCACATACAAGTTGCCAGAAGTTATACAAGCCACCTATTTTCTTCCCTTCAGTTTGATAAAGTGAGAAAACTCATTCCTGTTGTCCTATCTGTGATAATACTGCATAAAGTCTGTTCGACTGGTTTGAAAAGTACAAAACAATAAAAACAGTAATACCAGTGTTAATCTTTGGTGGAATTTTTGGTAACTGATCTATTTCTCAGATTACAAATTACACAGCACAGGCTAATATGGCTAGGATTCAACATTAGATATACTATAATTATAACCTCCCAAAAGAAAATGAAAAGTCTATACATATAAAAGAAAATGTATATGTTTTGTAAGAGAAAAAGGAGAAAAGAGCACAGAAAGTTAAAAAGAAAAAAAAAGAATTTAGATAGTGAGAAGTGGTATCAATAAAATGGCAAAATAGGACTTTCCAGTGCCAGTTGGCCCCCCAGGTCAGACTCTGTAGCCCCAAGACCCATGCCAGTACCCAAGGATCTAGCCTCCAGACCAGTACATATAAGCTGGGCCCCATAAACCCGGACTCCAGACCAGCCCCCAAGGCAGTAAGTTCCACTCTAGCACCACACCAGCTCCAGGCTTCAGGGGGATGGTCCCCACTGCTCTAGGCTCCAGTGGACCTAAAGTCCAGGCCCGCACCAGTAGATATCACCTCATACCTTACATCAGTTAGAATGTCTATTATGAAAAAAGACAAAGGATAACAGATGTTGAGAAGAATATGCAGAAAAGGGAATCCTTATACACTGTTTTTGGAAATGTAAATTAGGACAGCCATGAGGAAAACCACTGTGAAGGTTCCTAAATAAATTAAAAATATTGCCAAACAGGGTGGCTCACAACTGTAATCCCAGCACTTTGGAAGCCGAGGTGGGCAGATCATCCGAGGTCAGGAGTTTGAGACCAGCCTGGCCAACATGGTGAAACCGCATATCTACTAAAAATACAAAAATTACCTCGGTGCAGTGGCACACACCTGTAGTCCCAGCTATTCAGAAGGCTGAGGCAGGAGTATCGCTTGAACCCGGGAGGCAAAGTTTGCAGTGAGCAGAGATCCCACCACTGCACTCCAGCTTGGGAAACAGAGCAAGACTCCATCTCAAAAAATTAAGTTAAATTAAATATATAAAATGCTCATCATCACTGGCCATCAGAGAAATGCAAATCAAAACCACAATGAGATACCATCTTATACCAGTTAGAATGGCAATCATTAAAAAGTCAGGAAACAACAGGTGCTGGAGAGGATGTGGAGAAATAGGAACACTTTTACACTGTTGGTGGGACTGTAAACTAGTTCAACCATTGTGGAAGTCAGTGTGGCGATTCCTCAGGGATCTAGAACTAGAAATACCATTTGACCCAGCCATCCCATTACTGGGTATATACCCAAAGGACTATAAATCATGCTGCTATAAAGACACATGCACACGTATGTTTATTGCAGCATTATTCACAATAGCAAAGACTTGGAACCAACCCAAATGTCCAACAATGATAGAGTGGATTAAGAAAATGTGGCACATATACACCATGGAATACTATGCAGCCATAAAAAATGATGAGTTCATGTCCTTTGTAGGGACATGGATGAAATTGGAAATCATCATTCTCAGTAAACTAACGCAAGAACAAAAAACCAAACACTGTGTATTCTCACTCATAGGTGGGAATTGAACAATGAGATCACATGGACACAGGAAGGGGAATATCACACTCTGGGGACTGTGGTGGGGTGGGGGGAGGGGGGAGGGATAGCATTGGGAGATATACCTAATGCTAGATGACGAGTTAGTGGGTGCAGCGCACCAGCATGGCACATGTATACATATGTAACTAACCTGCACAATGTGCACATGTACCCTAAAACTTAAAGTATAATAAAAATAAATAAATAAATAAATAAAAAATAAATAAATAAATAAATATATAAATTAAAAATAAATGAATAAAAATAGAACTACCGTATGATCCATTTGTATATATTCTAGGTATATATCCAAAAGAATTAAATCACTATGTTGAAAAGCTATCTATACACCCATCTTTATGACAGCAAATTCATAATAGCCAAGGTATTGAATCAATCTAAGTGTCTGTCAATGAATGAGTGAATAAAGAAAGTGTAGTATATATATAATAGAATACTATTCTGCCTGAAAACAAGAAGGAAGTCTTAATATTCTCAACAACATGGCAAACCTGAAGACATTTTGCTAAGTAAAATAAGCCAGGCACAGAAAAACAAATACTGCATGATCTCATATGTGAAATCGACATAAAATGAATCATAGAAGCACAGAGTAGCAGAAAGATGCTTGTCAGGGGTTAGCAGTGGAGAGAAATAGGGAAAATGGGGAGATATTGGTCAAAGGGTACAAAGTTTCAGATGGAAGGAACAAATTCAAGAGATCTATTCTACGGTATGGTGACTATAGCTAATAATACTGTACTGCATAGTTGAAAACTGCTAAGATAATAGATCCTAAATGTTCTCACCACAAAACAGGTAAGTATGTGAGTTAATGATCTGTTAATTAGCTTGAGTAATAATTGCATAATTATGCATATGTCAAAACATTATGCTGTATATTATAAATAAATACATTTTTTTCACTTATCCTTAATAAAGATGGGGGGGGGGGGGATATTTGAGTAGGTGAGAAACCAGGATGCTACCGTAAGTGCTCCAAATCGTAAGATTTCCATAGTAGAAAACAGTTCAAAGGGCGAAGTTATGTTCTTTAAGTTTTTAAAAATGTGTTTTTATGTGATGTTTTACCGTATGTGGTCCCAATTCTTGCTAAAAGTCATTTTACATACATTATTCTTGGTTCTTCACTTCTTGGGTAAGGTTAAGGACAAGGGCACATGCCTCATATTTTTCATGCCTAGTTAGAAATAAAGGAAGAGTCAGAGATGCAGAAGGAAGATAAAGTCAGCAGAATCAATGCAATTGCAAGTCACACTAGAAATTGGAGGGAAGTTCTGAGATGCGTTTTTATTTTTATAATAATTTAGGAAATAGTGTGTGAATCAATCATATCTAAATCTCACAGGCCTCAAAAGCTACAGCTGACATTTGAGTTATAGAGAAAACTCAGGCATTGCAAGTACGTTACTTTATACTGAATTCTCCTTTAGCCATTTTTCCGCTTCATTTGACTATGACTGTCAGTTTAAATTGCTCTAGGTATAGCGCAATTATTTCAAATGAAGATGGTTGACAATAATATATAAAACAAAATGATTACTTCTATAAAATAGATTTCTTTATTTGAAACACATATATTGACATACATAATATACTTATTAACCATAAATACTCAAATTAGATCAAGCTTTAAAATAAAAATAAGCTATCATTTTCCATATGACAGTTTCTATCATAAAATTTTTCCAATATATTTTCACATAATTCTTTCATACACCCATTGGCTTCAAGTCATTTTCAGAGCCTCTCTATTTGCCTCAAATGTTTTCCTTAGTTCCTTAGGTAATGCAGTTGCTCCAAGCACTTACCTCACCTAAGTATACCTAGCCTATGATGACCATTTGTTTATAAGCTCCATAGCTCAGCTTTACCAGCTCCTTTTACTTCCTATATATTTCTCACTGCCTTGCAAAAAAGAGGGATCTCAGATGCTGACTTCTGCTATACTGTTTCAAAGCCTCTCTTACTACAATTCATAAAACTTATTGTTCTACTATTGATACTGGATATGAAAGAATATGGACCAAAATTCCTCTCAAAATTTACTATCCGACAAAGAATAAGCATTGTTGGAGAAAAGGATTTGAAGTATTTTGCTGTGTATTTAACTAAACTAAAGATAGAAGACAAAAGTATTCTGCCCAAAAAGCAAGAAATTAAAAGACATATTGTAGAGATTTTTAAATTGAGAGTATCATCTTTTCATAGGATTTACAGCTTCGCTTTTATCAAGATTTACAACAAATTTCATGCCTTATTTTCAATCGAGAAATGTCTGTCTTGGATACATTAGGTTTGTACCATGGAAAAACATCACTATAGATGTTTTATCTTGATTTTACATAGCTGTTTTCTCCACAAGTGAATGGTATTTAGGCTGACTGTGTTTTATTCCTACCTGTTACCAGGAACTCCACGACCTTGTTAGAGTACATGCTCAGCAAGTGCTAACAGAGTGAGTGAATAAAAGAATGGTTGATAAATAAATAGAAGGATGAATCATTGTGAGGGGAGACTCTGTTATATTGTTAATATGACACATACACAGGCTCATTCCCACCCCATTAGTCTCTTCACTGCCCCTCTTACAACTTTGTTTCTGAGGGTGTAGATTAGAGGGTTAAGACTAGGTGTGACAACAGTATAAAAGAGGGCAATGAACTTGCCTTGATCTTGAGAATTTCCTGATGGTGGCTGGAGATATATGCACATGGCCGGAATGAAAAAGAGAGATACAGCCATAAGATGAGCTCCACATGTTCCAAACACTTTCTGAAGCCCAGTGGTTGACTGCATCCTCAGTACAGCTCGGACGATGGCACCATAAGAAGTGAGAATGAGGATGAGAGGTATGAGAACAAATATGGAGCTTGTGATCATGAGGGTCAGCTCATTGACATGGGTATCAACACACGATAATCGCAGAAGTGCTGGAACTTCACAGAAAAAGTGATCTACTTGGCGGTGTCCACACAGAGGTACCCAGAAGGTGAAGGAGGAATGAAGTGCTGAGTTGGTAAAACCACTTACCCAAGAAGCCACAGCCAGCAGGTGGCAGAAACGAGGGTGCATGAGGACAGTGTAATGCAAAGGTCTACACACAGCTGCATAACGGTCATAGGACATCACCACCAGTAGGACACACTCTGTGGTTCCCAGTGCGAGAACAAAGTAAAGTTGAATCATGCAACCAGCATAAGAGATGGTCTTTTCCGGGCCCCAGAGATTGACCAGCAACTGAGGGATAGAGCTGGTGGTGTAGCAGAGATCCAGAAATGAGAGGTTTGAAAGGAAGAAGTACATTGGTGTGTGCAGATGGGAGTCCAGGTATGACAGGATGATGATGAACAGGTTTCCTATCAGTGTCATCAAGTAGAAGATCAAGACAACCACAAAGATAACTACTTCCAGATGAGGCCAATTAGAAAATCCAACTAAAATAAAGTACCCCTCAGAGCTAGCATTGACTTTTCCATCATCATTCATTTCCTATTACCTGAGAGAAAAAAAAGAAAGGTAAACTCAAAAAACGAGTAAACAAATGATCCAAAAATATCAGCACACATGAATAAAAAATAAAAGCCAGTTTGAAGGGCTTGCCATCATTTAATTGTAGGACAATTTAACCATTAGTAGTAATGAATTTAACAAAAGAAGAATTATAAAGCTCATACTGATATAAAAAGTAAAAGAATAAATAAATGAATGGTGAAGATAAAGCTATTCCTTACAGTAGATCCCTAATTAACAAATATAGAAGGGGTGACGGTGTTAAGAAAAACATAAATGATTGCAAAAACTAGTGGATAAAAATTTGATGGGGAACAGAATATGTACAAATATCTAAAATAGTCTAAAATATCTCCTCACAACTTTCTAGTTAATTTCAAACTGAAAAACAGTAAAGTTTGTAGTAGAAAAACCTGTCAGACACCACCATAACCAGTGATTTTATTGATCTTAAGATCAACTGTATTTGCACAAACCAACATCATGAACCTGCTGTGATGATGCTCTGAACAGGACATGCTGTCACTTCAGTGATATTTGTGTTAAAAATTCTAATAATGAAGACTAATTCTAATAATGAAGACACATGAGAAAAACTCAAATTGAGAGAAATAGCTTGCCTATACAATTCAGAAAAGTATCAAGTTTAAGTAGAAAAACAAAGGGTGAGGAACTGGTCCAGATGAAAAGAGACTAGTGAGATGTGATTTCTCAGTGTACAATCCTGGATTTTTTCAAAAACTAGCTATTAACAAAATTATTGAGACAATTTAAGAAATCTCAGTGTGGACTATGGATTAGATAATAATATTGTGCCCATATTAAGTTTGCTGATTTGGGTACTGTGCTGGACTTATGTAAAGTAACATCCTTTTCCTTAGACAAAAAACACTGAATAAAGTATTTGGCATAAAGGAACGTGTCATCTCCAACTTACTCTCAACTAGCCCAGAAAAAGAGATAGATAGGTAGATAGATAGATAGATAGATAGATAGATAGATAGATAAATAGATAGATAGTTGATAGATGATATAACAAAGCTTTGGGGGAAAATGTAAACTAATACTCAATCTGGTAAAAGGGTAAATGTTAGTCTTTTGTACTACTTTTTTGCAACTCTTCTCTAAGTTTGAAATTTTACCATAATAAAAAGTCACAAAAATACAAAATAATTTTTTAATTTTATATTTTATTTAGATGTTTGCCTTATTATAGAAAAATAACTATCAAGTTCTCATTCATTTTAGGGTGACATCTAGGTAAATGGTAATTGAAGGAAATTCCTAACCTAGCTAAGGAAGATAATTTCCATAAAACACAAAATCTTTCTTTGTTAATAAATAAGGAACTTTAGTTTTCTTTTCAGCATTTTCAGGTTATTTTCTTAAATGTGATTGTGGAAAACGTAATCATTGCAATCACAATAATCTTACATATGGATGAAAAGATATGTGGAAAATATTGAATTTAGTCATTTCAAAATGTTCACCTAAAGAAAAAATGTTTAGCTTCAATTAGATAAGAATCTTATCTTGTGATTTGTTTACTTGGACTCAAAATGTATTTCTAAACTGAAAAATTGAATACAAGTAGAGAAGACACAGACACTTGCTCATCAATATATGGGTATTCATGATACGAACTAAGCTAAAAATCTGGGGAGAACAGTGATAGAATGCTTTCTAAAGGATGTGTGACTACAACTGAATTTGAAAAGATTCAAACTTTACAGAAAGGAAAGGAAGATAAAAATTCAGTGAGAGAACAGAGAAGGAAGGAAAAGTGGGAGGGGCAGGAAAATGGAGGAGAACCTGAGTGTAGTTCTTAGAGTTGCAGGTGTGTCTATCACAGGGTTCAAGAAGCTGAACCACAGGGCCTGAAGAAGGTTTCTACATGATGTATTTTTCTCCAGGACAATAATTTAGATAGTATATAAATTCTGAGCATGAGCTATAATTAGTACATATTTATTCTCCAAGTTAGAGAGTTCTGAATATTTAATGAATCATTAAGTGGCTGTTCATCATTTAATACATTGTGCCCAGTGAATCTCATGTTACTTTTTTTGTTAAAAATAAAATATATCTTACAAATAGTTATGACTCCTAGGTGATGCTTTTTCTCCAGTGAGTTTTCAATCTTTCATAGAAAAAAATGATACTTATTTTTGTTATATAGTTATTGTGTCAGGCATAGCAACCCACCATTTAAATACCCCATTTTCTCTGAATTCTTTGCCTCTTCCAGCTTTGCCACATGCCCTCTATTTCATTCCTTCCACAGTCGGTTATTTTTCTTATACCTCCCAATTGGCTATGGCACAGGAAGAAAGAAATCATTGTGGGGCCACCTGTGATTGCCTCTTTTAGGGGTCTCTTAATCGCTCATGTTTTATAAATTCAATGCCTGAAAGAAATGTCAGGAGTAGCTAATTGGTTGAGTTTCAGCAGAAAAGTTTGGAACATTCAGTTTGGTCCCAAGATTAAAAGATTGACCTCAGACCTTTTAACAGACTTGGTAATGTAAATAATCATTAGCCAGTTGTTACACTAATCTAGATTACTTTCAACAACTTAAACAACCATCCAGGAAAATCAGTCTGCACATTGTTTTAAAAGAAAATTTTAAAAGCTATAGCTGAATCAAAAAGCAGCAATAGTCAAAGAGTAAATCATGAAGATTACTTGACTTAGAGGTCACAGCCCTTGAGGGAAGATGAAAATTTTCCAAGAGATTTTTAAAAATTTCTCTAGAATAGGAGATAATACATCATGAGAAATATGAACACAAATGTTATAGTTACCTTCTCTCATGCAGATAAAATTTTCTTCTTTCTTGTACAGTTGCCTCGATAATTTATTACATTAACTAAAACAACATTTAGCTGTGAGATACCTTTGCCAATTGCATGACCCATCTTTGAGCAATCTTACATAGAGAGGTTAGAATGAGATATGAGATAAGAAGCAAACAAACAAAAACTTACCAGATGCAAGCAAGGAAAAGGTAGGAATTTTTCTGGGTTAATTTTCTTCTTCCTGGTGGAGCAGAAAATAAAAGCCTTATCAAAAGTTAAAAGCCTTATCAAAAGCCATATCAAAAGTTTAAGTTATCCTTAACACAAAGAAAGGATAAATGCTTGAGGTGATGGATACCCCATTTAGCCTGCTGTGATTATTACACATTGTATGCCTGTATCAAAAATACCTGGGTCGGGTGCCGTGGCTCACACCTGTAATCCTGACACTTTGGGAGGCCAAGGTGGGCGGATCTCTGGAGCCCAGAAGTTCGAGACTAGCCTGGGCAATGAAGTGAGACCATGTCTCTACAAAAAATAAAAAGAAAGAAATTATCAAAAAAAATCTCATGTACCCCATAAATGCATACACCTATTGTGTACCCACAAAAATTAAAAGTTAAAAGTTGCTTTCATGGACTAGGAATAAGTGATCCTCTCTAGTTTTGGAAATCAGGTATAACGGAGGGAGAAAATAATCTCTTTTCCCCATCCCCATGTCACTGGCCAAGTTTTTTTATTCTTACCATAATATTTCTTTATATATTACCTAGTACTTAAGCAGTACTCAA
Organism: Homo sapiens; assembly: GCF_000001405.40. Lineage (NCBI taxonomy): Eukaryota > Metazoa > Chordata > Mammalia > Primates > Hominidae > Homo > Homo sapiens. The sequence continues at coordinate 373,836 of NT_167246.2, read as the reverse complement.
ACAATGCCTTTCACTCTGTCCTTCCTGTATCTGTCCACATTCCCTGTATATTGTCTTCCTAGCTGATGCCCTCATCATGCACAGACTGATCTGATCTCTGATTTTGATCACCTTGAAATCACCAACATAAATGCCTACACTTCCCTCATCTACTACATCAATTAGGAAAACAGTCTGAATGTAGCTATGACTATCATTGCTACAGAAGAGAAAGCTCTGAGTCTACTAAAAAAATTTAGTTTTACCCAAAAGATAAACTTATTAGAGCTTTCAGTGTATCAAGGGATGGGTCTTTATCTTAGAGTCAATGGGCCCTTTTTGGAAACAAAAGAATGTGACTTGCTTTCCTTGACTTGGGCCACTGGGAGGGTAAATCCCAAAGTAGCAATTAATGCCCTTCAAGGAGTTATCCTGGTTAGAACAGTTTCTCAGTGATGTTCTTGGCATGATGCCACATTGTTGTACGAGGATGACAAGGAATCTATAGTCCAGCCATAGCAGAGAAAAATACTTTGAGCTGTATCTGCAGGGAAGGGAATGGGTTATCTTGAGTTACCTGAAACCTCTTCCCCAATTCTTCAGTATGCTAGAGGCCAAATTTGAGATATAGCTTGTTAGGTAGTCTAATTTGGGAATGGGAAAAGGCATGAAACATTTTTTAAAAGGAAATATAATGACTACATTATACATATTTGTTTTATTAATTTGAATTTTTAATTGTGTCTAACATCTCTAAAATTCAAGGCCAAGTTCAGCCCTGCAAAAGTGTTAAAAATTACCTTTGAAGACCATTCAAACTATACTCAGAAGGTCACTACCAAACTCAGAAAACTTTTAACAAAATTATTTAATATTTCCAAAATATTGTTATCAATAATTTCTTTTGATGTCTTGTTAAAAGCTTTGCAGAAATATATAAAAAAGCTAAATTAGCTGTGATAGCTAGCCTACATCCCATGTTTAAAAAAAAAAGCACATCGTGAGTTTATAAACTAATGAAGATTTTTCAATTGTTACATTGTGTCTAGGTGATATATTCCATGTGTACCAGACAAAGTCTTGGTATGAAAATCAAGTCACATTTACAATACAATTATATTTTAAAGTCAGTACTTTTAAGAGCATGATCAGGTATTTTCCTGTCCACTTATGTGAAGCAACTGAAAACAGTCTTGGCTTCAGTAGTCTTGATTGTTGTGAAAACTCCATGTGAAAAATACGTAAACATTATCCTCGATGCCTAGTGCATAATCATTCAATACATGTTAGCTGCTATTACCATTATAGTGAATTTTAATTTGAAGTGATATTTTAACAAGTCATTCTATATTATTTCTTCATCCTTTATTTTAGATATTTAAAATATTAAAAATAAACCCTTATGTTCCCATCATTCAGAATCATCAACCATAACTTTTGTCATTTTTATTTTCAGAATTTTTAGCACATAAAGTATCACAGATAAAGTTCATATCCCCTTCAACTGTCACTCTCTGACCCAACACTAAATCCAGAGACAACTACCATGAGCTTGGTATATATCATTCCAGTTTACTTTAAAATATATTAAATATTATTTTTAAGATAAATATGATTAAATAGTCATATAATCATATGTCTAAACTTCTCTATCTTATTGGAGAGGAATTTGACCAGTGATCCTACAACCTGTGGGGACTAGCAGAATTCAATCAGTTATCAAAATCCAGGAAATGTCTGATATCCTGGTCTGTAGGAGATTGTACCAAGCTCCAATATTTTTCATGTTTTGGTAACTAGAATTGTAGGAGAGTTTTTGGCCCCTGCCAATCTACTGGGTGCCAGCAAATGTTAACATTTTTAGGTGTGATGTTAGTAACTTGTGAAAATACAGCTGGCATAACATGATTTAATTACAGCAAAGTATTTCTAAGGAAGCAACCCTCAACTTTTTTCTCTACAATACACACTCAGATAAATAAAACACATTGAAAGTCACATCTGAGGAATCAAAAGGAATAAAAGACACTAAATGATCTCTGTTGAGCTTCTGTTAATTTGAGTGCTTTGTATGGGAGGAATGTGAATTAGAGTAGATCACAAACTATTAAAGCATTGTAGATGGGAAGCTCAGTTGGAGTTAAGGCCTAGAAAATTCACATATACAACATGGAGTACTATGCAGCCATCGAAAAGGATGTGTTCATGTCCTTTGCAGGGACATGGATGAAGCTGGAAGCCATCATTCTCAGCAAACTATCACAAGAACAGAAAACCAAACACCACATGTTCTCACGCATAGGTGGGCATTGAACAATGAGAACAGTTGGACCTGGGGGGAAACATCATACACCAGGGCCTGTGGGGGCGGTGGGGGGGATGCGGGAGGGATAGCATTAGGAGAAATACCTAATGTAAATGATTAATTGATGGATGCAGCAAACCAACATGGCACATGTATACCTACGTAACAAACCTGCACGTTGTTCACATGTACCCTAGAACTTAAATAATAATAAAATAAAATAAAACAGACGATGGAAAAAAATCAGTCATATTTCTATACAATTTATAGTGGTATCTAAAAACATGAAATACATAGAGGTGACTTTAACAAAATATGGACAATAGCTATACAATGAAAACCTCAAATGCTTCTGAAAGAAAATAAGATGTAAGTAAATGGAGATCTATATCATGTCCCCAGATCAGAAAAGTCAATGTTGTCAAGTTGCCAGTTCTTCTCCAATTGGTCTATAAATTCAATGCAATCCCCAATCAAAATGCCACCAGGCTTTTTCTGTGGAAATGACACACTGTATTTTATTAAAGTTAAAATTTTTCTCTTTGAAAGATATGACAGTATTCTATTTGCAAAAGATTTGTTTGACCAAGGACTTGAGTTCAGAGTATACAAAGAACTTCAAATTCAACAATAAGAAGACAAATGACCCAATTTTTAAAGTGAGTAAAATATCTGAACAGAAGCTACACAAAATAACATATATGAAGCATATGAAAAGCACACAAGAGGATGGTCAATGTCAACACCCCTCAATGCAAATTATAGCCACAGGTAACCTAACTTGAGAGGTGAAAAGTATAAAAACTGACAATACCAAGTATTAGAAAGAATGTGAGTTCATTTGGAACTCTCATACACTGCTGTTTGAAGTGAAAATAGAACAGCCACTTGAAAACATTTTTGCAGTATCTCATAAAGATAATATACACTAAGCATGTGGTCCTCCTGGAGAGGTACAAATAAAAGGTATTTACCCAAATTAAGTGAAAACATGCATCCACACAAACACTTGTATACAAATTTTCATAGCAGCATTATTCATAATAGCCAAAAATTTTAAATACTCCCAAAGCCCTTCACAGATAAATGGATAAATTGTCGCACATTCGTACAATGGAGTTCTAACAAGCAATAAAAAGGAAAAAGTAACTGATACATGTGGCAACATAATAAATGTCAAAAACATCATGCTAAATGAAACAAGCCACACCCAAAGATTACACACTGCATGATTGCAATTATTTGAAATTCTAAAAGTGGGAAAAACCAAGTACATTTAGAGAAAATTAATGCTGCCTCAGGCTATGACTAAAAGGGGAAAGTTGACTACAAAACGGAAGTTCTTTGGGGAGTAATAGAAATGTCCTATAATCTTGATTGTGGTGGCATTTACACAATTATACATTTGTCAAACTCACTGAACTATTCTTTCAATTTGATATTGAGAAACCTGTCTTTGAGACTCAAATTTGCCATTTGTTAGTGCGTGCATTTAGACAAGACTACTTAATCTCTCTGAGACTCAATTTCCTAATCTTTAACATAGGAACAATAATGTTTATATCTTATTTTTCTTTTGTTTCAAGAGGCTAATAGTCAACAAAGCTTTAGGGTTTCTATGATGACCAAAATTCTAATGAAACAAAATATATTAATGTGCTTTATAAGTTGTGTAGTACTGTTACAGTATAAAGGATTATAATTATACACTTTTTCCGATAGCTTATTAAATCCAATATTTGATGTCTAACAAAAATACAATAAAAAGAAAATATAAAAAAATTCATTGAACTATATACTTAAAATGTGTAGATTTCTTTGTACATAAATTATACTTCAATAAATTTGAAAAGAAAAGAGTCTTGTAGATCTTGAGAAGCTGGAGTGACACATGACATATTACAAATGGTAAGATTTCCACGGAGGCAGGAGGAATCTATGTTCTCATATTTTGTGAAGTCTGTGTGAGATGTGATGTGATCCCAATAATCCCACTGGGTACTTATCCAAGAAAAATGAAGTAAGTATTCCGAAGAGGTATCTATGCCCCCATGTTCATTGCAGCACTATTCATGACAGCCAAGATGAAGAAACAACCTAAGCATCCATTGATGGAGGAATGGATAAAGAAAATGTGATCTCATACACACACACACACACACACACAGCGAGAAATATTATTCAGCCAATAAAAAGAAAATCCTGCCATTTGTTATAACATGGATGAACTGGAGGATATTGTGCTAAGTGAAATAAACCACACACAGAAAGACAAAAGATGTATGATAACACTTACATGTGGAATCTAAAAAAATTGAACTCGGATAGGAACAGTGGCTCACGCCTGTCATCCCAGCACTTTGGGAGGCCAAGGCAGGTGGATCATTTCAGGTCAGGGGTTCAAGACCAGCCTGGCCAACATGGTGAGAACTAGTTTCTACTAAAATACAAAAATTAGCTGGGCGTGGTGGCGGGTGCCTGTAGTCCCAGCTACTGGGGAGGCTGAGGCAGGAGAGTTGCTTGAAGCCGGGAGGCAGAGGTTGCAGTGAGCCAAGATCGCACCACTGCACTCCAGCCTGTGTGACAGAGTGAGACCGTGTATCAAAAAAATAAAAAAACTGAACCCATAGAAGCAGAGAATAGAATGGTGGTTGCCATGGGCTGGAGGGTGGGAAGTGGAGAGACAGCCAAATTGTACAAACTTTCTGTCATAAGATGAATACATTCTGGAGATCTAATGTAGATTATGGTGACTATAGTTAATAATACTGTACTGTATACTTGAAATTTGCTTAGAGATTAGATCTTAAGTGTCCTGACCCTCCCCGCTCCCCCTACACACAGTAACGATGTGAGATGATGGATGTGTTAATTTGACTGTGGTAATAATTTCACAATTTGGTTTGATTTATATATAATCACATTGTGCACATTAAATATATGTTATTTTATTTGTGCCTCAGTAAAGCTGGAAAAAATAAAATCAAAATAAAGAAATTTTTTTAATAATGCTATTCAGCAAAGAACAAGGATGTTAAGAGTTTTAAGCTATCTTTAATATGTCATTAACTAGGCCAACTAAAGCAAATTAAGCACATATTCTGCTTTGTTTCATTTAATAGCACTGTCTTCCTACAGGAGCTATGAATTTATTATCAGAGTTTATTATCAAACTTATTGTTTTGCTTTCGATTTTTAAAAAGTGAAAGATGTATACAATCTGAAGAGTAATCAGAGTATATTGTTTCTGATTTTTAAAAGCTATCTTAATTTATTAGCATTAACCCCAGTGACAAATTAAGCCATGTACAGATACTTCATCTTTTATCTTATGTTGCCATTTTTCCCGATAGAGAGTGCATTCTGTTCAGACAAAGTATGTTATATTTATACATGTTACCAAGAATTTCACAAACTGGGAGAGAGTACATGTCCAGTAAGATTTAGCTAATGAAGAATAAGTTAATGAATAAATGGACAGATGAACGAATCAGCCATTTTAAAGAGATATTAGTTTACTGTTCAATGTGACAAGAATGCAGACCTACAGGATAAATTATATAATTTAGTGTCTTTAAAAAGTGAACTTCAACCAAAAAATTATGACATATCCTTTACCATATAATAAATGGTGTTATTCATTATGTTTACTATTTTTCTTTGCTGTGACTATTTTTAGCTTCATTTAAGGTTTATTTAATAACCAAAAACTTCTTCAGCCTACATCTTTGCAATATTGCCCTTCTCTTCCTATACATATCAATGGTCAGTTCATAATTTAGCACATTGTCAGAAATATTGCCAATATTTTTTAAATAATCTCCTCATAATTATTCACACACACATTTATTTATGTTGAAACCACAGTCCACAATTTTCATGGAAATAAATATAGAATTGTAAAAGAACAAAATGGTACTAATCAAAACCTTTATCTCAACATAATATTTCAGAACTAAATATTAAACAGAGCAACAAATGGGGGAACTGAACTATTCCATGTTTTGTGAGCTGTTAGATGAAACACAAATCACAAAGAAGCAGGGAAACAACCTTTCAAAATGGATAAGACCCTAGGAAAAACAACAGCCAACATGATTTCCCTGTCACATCCCCCATTCCCACCCCATTAGTCTCTTCACTGCCCCTCTTACATCCTTGTTTCTGAAAGTGTAGATTAGAGGGTTAAGACTAGGTGTGACAACAGTGTAAAAGAGGGCAATGAACTTGCCTTGATCTTGAGAATTTTCTGATGGTGGCTGGAGATACATGCACATGACTGGAATGAAAAAGAGAGATACAACCATAAGATGGGCTCCACATGTCCTAAGCACTTTCTGAAGCCCAGTGGTTGATTGCATGCTCAGTACAGCCCGGGCAATGGCACCATAGGAAGTGAGGATGAGGATGAGAGGTATGAGAACAAAAATGGAGCTCATGACCATGAGGGTCAGCTCATTTGCCTAGGTATCAACACATGATAATCGCAGAAGTGCTGGAGCTTCACAGAAGAAGTGATCCACTAGGCGATGTCTACATAGGGGTATCCAGAAAGTAAAGGAGGAATGAAGTGCTGAGGTTGTAAAACCACTTACCCAAGAAGCCGCAGCCAACAAGCGGCAGAAACGAGGGTGCATGAGGACAGTGTAATGCAAAGGTCTACACACAGCTGCATAACGATCATAGGACATCACCACCAGTAGGACACACTCTGCGGTTCCCAGTGCGAGAACAAAGTAAAGTTGAACTGTACAACCAGCATAAGAGATGGTCTTTTCCGGGCCCCAGAGATTCACCAGCAACTGAGGGATAGAGCTGGTGGTGTAGCAGAGATCCAGAAATGAGAGATTTGAAAGGAAGAAGTACATGGGAGTGTGGAGATGGGAGTCCAGGTATGACAGGATGATGATGAACAGGTTTCCTATCAGTGTTATCAAGTAGAAGATCAAGATAACCACAAAGAGAACTACTTCCAGATGAGGCCAGTTAGAAAATCCAAGTAGAATAAAGAAGTCTTCAAAACTTGCATTTTTTTTCATCAACATTCTTATTTTTCCTGTACCTAAAGAAAGAATCGCATAAACTCAAAGTCTGTCCATGCATTGCCAACTGCTCACTTGCAAACAGATTGGAGAAAAAAGTATCCCAATTCCAGATAGTGTGCACCATTATGGCAGTAGAATTTTTATACAGTTTCCTTTGTATGCTTCATTGAGATATTTGTCCAGCTGTGGATACAAGTAATAGCTTTTCAAGTTACTGAGTTCTTTTATATACATCCTTGAGTTAACATTTGGATAAATGAAGACTAAGATATTCCATAATCAGAAAGACAATATTTAAGAAAATAATTTTTTATTTTAAAAAGTTAAATTGATTTTTTTTTGCATTTTCAGACTATTTCCAATTTTGCAGTTACAGAGAAAGGAATAACTGCAGCCATAATAATCTTACTTATAGATAGGAACTTCCCATGTTAAAGAGCAATTAGGTAGTCACTTTAAAATATTAATATGAACTGAAAAGAAATAATTGGATATGATTATAGAAAGAATTAAATGATATTCATTTATTTATGCTAGCAGTTTATTTCTAGACGAATAAAATAACATGCAAATGAAGGTTTAAACAGACATGCACACACACACCAACTTATAAAAATTCACAATATAAGCAAAGCTGATTAATAAAGTGAAATAGAGTAGAGATATCAGTGATAGAGTGCTTCCAAAGTTACATGGGGGTATAATTATTATTGGAAGACAGAAAGATTACAGAGTCTAACAAAAACACCGGGAGGTGTAAGAGAGAAAGGAAGAGTGCTTTGAGGCACAACAGTGAAGAGGAGGTCAGAATGTGGCATTTGAAATTGAAAGAATGTATAACACAGGATTGTTAGACAGGGACAAGAAGACTTAAATGTGGTTTCTAAAAAATTTTATATGCTTTAGGCCAATAACTGAACTATACTTTAAATTCTGAGTCACAACTTATAATTTGTATTTCTGGGTTTTCTTCAATATTCCTAAATAGCATTGCCATCCCCCTTCTGCTCCCCTCCTGCCACAGCCAACTCTTCCTCTCATACTCTCTGATAAAATATGACAAAAGACAAATTTATTTACACCCAACTCACCTTCAGTGTTTTGAAAAACTTTTAACAACTCAAATATTCTAATCTTGACTCTTGAAAAAGATGTAAGGGTTTGCCTAATTAGTTGAGTTACAGCTGGAGAGCTAGGAACGTTGAACTTGGGCCAAGTCTGTGCAGATGCTCCAGACAGGTACAAAGATATCTGTACACTTTTCCATATTGTTGATAATGAAATGATCATTACCTTTTGAGAAATCATGGAAAAATTGCAAGAATTTTTTTAAAAATTTCGCTAGGTTGAAAGGTAATATTCTGTAAGATACTTGAACTCAAATGTTGTGGATACTTTTGCTAATGCAGGTATAATTTTCTTTCCTAATGCAGCTGCCTGACTTCCTTACTACAGTAATTAAAAGGTGAAATCTGATATTTTTCTGTTGTATAAACCATCTTTCAGCATTCTTCCAGAGTCGATAAAAAGGATAGGAAATAAGGGACAAAAAAAAAAAAAAACCCAGAACTCACGTAGAGAAAAGTTTGCAGCTTCGATTTTCTTCTTGGAGGAAAAGAGGGAAATGAAGACCCTATCAAATGTAGCTTTTATGAACTATGGAATAAAATATCTTCTCTCTTCTTTTAAATCAAACACTGTAGGGAAAATGGATGGCTGAGTGTCTCTTCTTTCCCCAATTATTACTAAGAGACATTTTCCCAATTCGTGTCATATTCATTCCTTTATACTATATCTGGTTTGTTTTCTTACTTTTTCATTGACTAGTAATAATTGTATATATGTATGGAGTACATTGTAATGTTTTGATATGTATATACATCATAGAATGATTATATTAAGCTAGTTAATGTACCTATCACCTCACACACATCATTTTTTTGTAGTAAGAACATTTAAAATCTACACTTCCTGCAATTTTGAAATACAGAAGCTGTACACCCCTTAAGAAGTGCGCCAACTTCTTTCAGTACTGACCTTCCTGTGTTTGTCCCTGTTCCCTGTCACTCTCTACCTGGCCTACGACCTCATCATGTATAAACTGATGAAGGGGCTCTCTGGTTGCCATGCAACCTAGAAACATCAACCTAATTGCCTTCTTATAACATTTTTGCCAATGTTTTAAATCTAACTATGGAGAACAGAGTCTGGAAATAACTGTGATTGTCATTGCTACAGAAAAGAGAGCCTGAGTTTGTCCAAAAGATCTGCTTTTTAGCAGAATGTGGGAATACTTTAGAGCATTCAAGGTATCAGGGGATGGACCCTTTATCCCAGAGTAAATGGAATCTTTATGGAACCAAAAAGAATAATGGGATACTCTTTCATTGACTGGGGCCTTTGGGAGTATAAATCCCAAAGTTGCAATTAATGCCCTTCAAGTTGTCCTGGTGTGGTGTTCTCAGTACAAAACTCTTCACAGAAATATCTTCAGTATGATGTTATAGTCTTACTGTGATGACAGTGAATTTATCACTTACAAATATGGGAAAAGATGCTGTGAGTTATATTTACAATAAAGGGAATGGGTTTTACTGAGCCATGTGATTTTTTTTCAGTTTTCCATGGGGCTAAGGGTAAAATTTACAAGACAACTGGAAAAAAGGAGTGATTTCAGAGCCATTCAACTGAAAAACTAGAATACATAAAGACTAAACTGTATATCTATTCCTTACTAATGACGTGCTCTTTGAGACTGACCTATATTATTTATGCCATCCCAGTTGTCTTTTAAATTCAATTCCAAGATTTTTCCTGCAAAAGGTTAAAAAATATCTTGTGTTTAAAATCTCCCCTTTCCCCATCCCCTACCCCCAAGGTAGCTATATTCTACTCTCCACTTGCATGAGTTTATCTTTTTTAGATTCCACATATGAGTGAGATCACGTGGTATTTGTCTTTCTGTGTCTGGCTTCTTTCACTTTGCATAATGTCCTGCAGGTTCATGAATGTTGTTGAAAAGACAGAATTTCCTTTTTTCTTTAAGGCTGGATAGTATTCCATTTTATATAGATAATGTGGCTCATATATATCACATTATATCCCTTTTATATATTTATCTGTTTATCCATTGATGGGCATTTAAGTTCCTTCCATATCTCAGCTATTGTGAATAATGCTACAATGAACATGGTAGTGCAAATATCTGTAGTGAATTCTTATGATTTTATGTTGCCTCAGTGTTTATTTTCAATATAAGTTGAACTTTCTCATACCAGAAGCAGGGCTTAGTCACCCTTAACACAATTTCGAGTTCTCCTCTCCCAGTTTCTTCAGGTGGTCAATCCAGATATTTGGCCTCTTGGTTTCCACCTTCCTGTGGAGCACCTAGATACAACCTGTTTGACTTATCCCACTGATCCCCACACCCCACATGGACTGCAGACTTGCAGTAGTGAACACCTCTCAATACAACATAACTCCCAAGAACTCATGCCTGCTTGCTTTAAACCCAGCAATCAGTTACTCCCTGCTTAGGAAATGCTGTGTACCCCAGTAAAGGCTTCGGCCTTCTCGGCTGTCACTCACTCTCCCTTGCTACCCACCCACTGGTTGAGCATGCATGTCTCTGAGGGCTGCCCCTTCTCCCGTTAGGCCTGTGAGGAAAGTTTCCTTCTTCTCTCTGGATCTTTAAGTAATAAAACTACTTCTATTACGTGTTTTTTTTTACTTGCGTCTCGCGTGACTGACATACGTGAAATTAACTTCTTTTCTGGACAAGGCTCTCTTAAAGAGTGGTTATCTTGGTAGGAATGAACTGGACACACTAGTCAGACAAGAGCCACAAGGGTGTCTGCCAGTGAAAATGAGTTTCCAGTGAGAGGGACACCTGGTCATAAATAGGACAATTAGGCATTAGCTCTCCATCAGGATATAGAAGTATTCCACGAAAAAAACACTGAAAACATCCACAACCACAACCACCTCCACTGGAGCCCATCAGAGCAGGGCTAGAGTTTCTGGCTCCTCTTCAAAGAGAGACGTTAAGACCAAATTAGAGGAAAATCTACCAATATATTTTTAACATATTAATTTCAATCTCTTTGGCTATGTACTCAGAAATATAGTTGCTGGATCATATGGTAATTCTATCTTTTTTTGAGGAACCTCCATGCTGATTTCAATAATGGCTGTATTAATTTACATTACTACCATTAGTATATAAGGATTCCCTTCTCCACATCCTTGCTAATACTTATTAACTCTTATTTTATTGATATAGCCATTCTAACAGGTATGAGGTGATATCTTATTGTGGTTTTAATTTGTATTTCCTTGATGTTGAGAAATTTTGTTATGTATCTGTTAGTCTTTTATGTCATCTTTTGAAAGATGTCCATTAAGTGTTTTGCTCAGTTTTAAAAGGGGTTCTTTGTTTTCTTGCTAACAAATTTAAGTTGTTTGCATTTCTTACATATTTTGGATATTAGCCATGTATGGTTTGTAAATATTTTCTCCCAGTCCATGGGTTGTCTCTTCAATCCGTTATTTACTTTGTTATACAGAAGGTTTTTGGTTTGAGGTAATCCCATTTGTCTATTTCTGCTTTGGTTTCCTGTGCTATTGAGATCATCACCAATAAATTATTGCCAAGATTAATTTCAAGAACATTTTTCCCTATGTTTTCTTCTAGTAATTTTACATTTTCTGGTCACACATTTAAATCTTTAAACCATTTTTAGAGGATTTTTGCATATGGTGTGAAATAAGGTTTCAATTTCATTGTTCTGTATTTGGGTATTTGATTTTCCCAGCATCATTTATTAAAGATACTGCCCTTTCTCCATAGTGTGTTCATTCTTGGCATCTTTGGCAAAAATCAGTTAACCACAAATGCATGAGTTTATCTCTGGGCTCTCTATCACATTACATTGGTCCGTGTGTCTGTTGTTATGCCACTACCTTTCTGTTTTGAATACTATAACTGTGTAATATATTTTGAAACAGGTAGTGTGATGCCTCCAGCTTTGCTCTTTTTGCTCAAAAGTGCTTCAGCTACTTAGGGGTTTTTGTCATTCCATATGAATTTTTAAATTGCTTTTTCTATTTCTGTGAAACAAAAAAGTCATTGAACTTTTATAGAAATTGCACTGAATCTGTGTATCACTTTAGGTAGTACACATATTTTAATAATATTAATTCTTCCAAACCATGAATGCAAAATCCATCATATTCTGGGTTTTTGTTTGGTAGAAGACTTTTATTACTGATTCAACCTCCTTACTCATTATTAGTCTGTTCAGATTTTCTGTTTTTTTCATGATTCATTTTTGTTATGTTTCTAGAAATTTAACCATTTCTTCTAGGTTACCCTATTCGTTGGTGTAAAATTGTTCATAGTATTCTTTTATGAGCTTTTGTACTTCTGTAGTATCAATTGTAATGTCTCCTCTTTCATTTTTGACTTTATTAGAGTCTTCTTTTCTTCTTAGTTGGTCTACTCAAGTTTTGCCAATTGTTTTTATCTTTTCAAAAATTCAAGTCTTAGTTTTGTGAATGCATTCTATTGTTTTCTAGCTTCTTATTTATTTCTGCTCTGATCTTTGTTATTTCCTTCCTTCTGCTAACTTTGGGATTAGTTTGCTCTTCTCTTTTTCTGGTTTCTTGAAATGTAACATTAGGTTGTTTGGGATCTTTCTTCTTTTTTAATATAGGCATTTATTACTACAAACATTCCTCTTGCTAATATCTTCTTTTGCTACATGCCATAAGTTGTGGTATGTTGTGTTTTCATTTTCATCTGTCTTAAGATTTTTTTTAATTTTGCTTTTGATTTTTTATTTAACCCATTGTTTATTCAGGAGCATGTTGTTTAATTTCCACGTTTGTAAATATTTTAAATTTTCTCCTATTATTCACTTCTACTTTCATAACTTTGTGGTCAGAAAAGATACTTGATATGATTTCGATCTTCTTAAAACTGTGGAGACTTATTTTGTTCCCTAATATTTGATCCTGGATAATGTCCCATTTGCACTTGAGAAGAATGAGTATTCTGTTGCTGTTGGATGGAATGTTCTATATATGTCTGTTAGGTCCATTTGATCTAATGTGCGTTTCAAGTCCAGTGTTTCCTTATTGATTTCTGTCTAGATGACATGTTCATTGTTGAAAGTGAAGTGTTGAAAAACCCTGCTATTACTGTATTGCAGTCTGTTTCTTTTTAGGTCTATTAATACTTTCTTTATACATTTAGATGATCTAGTATTAGGTGTATATATATTTACAATTGTTACGTCCTTTTGATGAATTGACCCTTTTATCATGTAATGACTTTCTCTGTCTCTTTTTACAGTTTTGGACTTAAAGTCTGTCTAATATAAGTAGAGCTACCCCTGCTGTCTTTTGGTTTCTACTTGCATGAAATATTTTTTTCAGTCAATGTGTGTTCTTTAAGTTAAAGTTAGCCTCTTACAGGCAGCCTATGTTTGAGTATTGTTTTTCAGTTTTTTCCCAAAGCAAATCATTTTAGTAGGTTGTCAAATATACAATTATTGGAAATATCTAAATATTACCTGTAAAAATCAGCATATCACATTAGATAATTCTATAAAGTAAGAAAACACAAATCACACATTGCCAATAACCGCTGCAGTCCAAGAATATCCTCCTGTCAATAGTACAAATTACAAACACATTTTTAAAACTAAAGATGTTATTTAGACATTTAAACCAAAGTAACCATGACTAGCCTAAATACATTCATTCATCAAGTACAATAAATTTAGCATTGCTACTTACAGTCACTAATAACACAATTTTAGGTGCAATTTTACCTAAAATTTCATAAATTTTCCAATACAGTTCCAATAGTAAAGTGTCTTTGTGCATGCCATTTCCATTTATATGTGGGTGCATCATATATCAGACTTAAGGCTATTTCACCTCATTATTAAATTGTTCATAAATATATAAAGAAAGTGAACACCAGGCCAAAATTTAATCCCAATGATAAAAAAATATATATATATATATAATATATATAAAATATATATATTATTAAAAAGTCAGGAAACAACTGTGAGCCAAAATAAACCTTTTTTCTTTGTAAATTACCCAGTCTTAGGTATTCCTTTATAGCAATGCAAATGGATGAATGCAGAAACAAAGGATCGGTCTGCATTTCTTAACTTCAGAAACTACAGTCTTTGTAGTTTCCTTTGTAGTACCTTTGTAAAGACGAAGATCTTTAAATAGTTTAGTGCTTAGTGTCCTTGTTAAAGTATAACGTTATATAATGAACACCGGCTGATAAATTATTGATGCATTAACTGGCAACATTTCAAAAAAAATTCAAACTCGAAATCTCAGTTTAGAATCTTCCAAGTGAATGAGAACCCCTAACTCTGTTCAGGTCAAATGTTGCCCCCTCACAGAAACTGACTGACCATGCTGTCTAAAGTAACAGCCTCAGCTAATTTTGATTCTCTTACCCTGCTTTCTTTTTCTTCATAGCATTTATCACTATCTGACATTGTATTATATATCTATTTACTTATTATTAGTTTTCTATCTCCTTACTAGTATGTAAGCTTCATTAGAACAGAGACTTTATTTCTTTTGATTATCAATATATCTCCTGTGCACATGACAGTGCCTGACACTTATCACCATGACATAAAGATTTATTGAGTAAATGATTAAATGGTTTGTTTCCATGTTCATGTTCCAACCAGACACATAGGCAGGTATTGTGGCTTATCTCTGAAGTCCTTGGCACTGGCTGGCTGGCATAGAACCTTGCAAACAATGAATAAATAAATTACCCTGATCGATCAGTGTGCCTGGATAGAGAAGACATGTAGCAATGCTGCACCCCTGGATGTGCTATTAATACAATTATACAGCATGGAATACTATGTAGCCATAAAAAAGAATGAGTTCACGTCCTTTGCAGGGATACGGATGAAGCTGGAAGCCATCATTCTCAGCAAACTAACACAGGAACAGAAAACCAAACACCTCATGTTCTCACTCATAAGTGAGAGTTGAACAATGAGCACACATGGACACAGGGAGGGGAACTTTACACACCGGGGCCTGTCAGGGGGTGGGGGGCAAGGGGAGGGAGAGCATTAGGACAAATACCTAATGCATGCAGGGCTTAAAGATGACAGGTTGATAGGTGCAGCAAACCATTATGGCACATGTATACCTATGTAACAAACCTGCACGTTCTACACATATATCCCAGAACTTAAAGTAAAATAAAAATAATAATAATTTATAAAATACACTTAAAATTTTTTTTTAACCAAGATTGTTCTCTTGAGGTTAACTTATTACTACTTTGAGTTGCCAGGAGTGATTGCACATTTCTTGGGAATCCCTAAGTCACCAAGAATAAAGACCACTTGTAATAACTAAGGCATATTCAACAATAAAATTCTAGAGATTCGGGATATTTGATATTTGCTTGTAACATTTCACTTTTTAGCTTTTATTCATTTAATAAATGTTTTCTTTATCATCTTGTATACTCATGAACAGTTTTAAGTGTCCATTCAAAT
Source organism: Homo sapiens (assembly GCF_000001405.40). Lineage (NCBI taxonomy): Eukaryota > Metazoa > Chordata > Mammalia > Primates > Hominidae > Homo > Homo sapiens. The sequence continues at coordinate 357,937 of NT_167246.2, read as the reverse complement.
CATTTCATTGGGAAAAAAAAAGTCAGGAAACAACAGATGTTGGCAATGCTGGGGAGAAATAGGAACACTTTTACACTGTTAGTGGAAATGTAAATTAGTTCAGCCATTGTGGAAGACAGTGTGGCGATTTCTCAAAGATCTAGAGCCAGAAATACTATTTAACCCAGCAATCACATTACTGGGTATATACTCAAGGGATTATAAATAATTCTACTATAAAGACACATGCACACATATGTTTATTGCAGCACCATTTACAACAGCTAAGACTTGGAACCAACCCAAATGCCCATCAGTGACAGACTGGATAAAGAAAATGTGGTACATATACACCATGTAGCCATAGAAAAGAATGAGTTCATGTCCTTTGCCGGGACATGGATGAAGCTGGAAACCATCATTCTCAGCAAACTAACACGGGAACAGAAATCCAAACACCACACGTTCTCACTCATAAGTGGGAGTTGAAAATAAGAACACGTGGACACAGGAAGGGGAACATCACACACTGGGGCCTGTTGAAGGGTGGCGGCACAGGGAGGAGAGCGTTAGGACAAATACCTAATGCATGAGGGGCTTAAAACCTAAATGACAGGTTGATAGGTGCAGCAAACCACCATGGCACATATATACCTATGTAACAATACTGCATGTTCTGCACATGTATCCCAGAACTTAAGGTAAAATTTTTTTAAAAAAGTAAAACCACAAAAAATAAAATAACTTTTCTATTATAATCCAAGCACAACAAATTGTATTTGAAAACTAATTACAAATATATATTACATATAGAAAGTATGTATATATGTCTATTAAACTTATATATAAATTATTAGCTACAACAGATGTCATATAGTTACAAAAATCACAGGCTAAGAAAATGTCCTAATTTAGAAAATGATCATATTCTACACAAAAAGAAAAATGAGGAAAAATAGATACATTAAAATACGAGCACATTAGTTTCCTTAAGATTATATCTAGGCTGATGCTCAATTCAATTACAACTTCTTTATTTTACTAAGATCTTAGGATAAGCACTTATTAAGTCACATATTAAGTCATAACTTGCATAAATCAGCTTTTTTTTTTTGGAGATGGAGTTTCGCTTTTGTTGCCCAGGCTGGAGGGCAATGACTTATCTTGTCTCCCCAGGTTCTAGCGATTCTCCTGTCCCGCCTCTGCCTCCCGAGTAGCTGAGATTACAAGCACCCACCACCATGCCCAGCTAATTTTTTGTATTTTTAGTAGACACTAGGTTTCACCATGTTGGCCAGGCTGGTCTTGAACTCCTGACCTCAGGTGATCCGTCCGCTTCGGCCTCCCAAAGTGCTGGGATTACAGGCGTGAGCCACCGCCCCAGCCCTCAGCTGCTTCTTTCAAAAACTATTCCCCCTATTGCAATTTCATGTAATTTCTGTGTGTTCTGACCCAGTGAATTAATGCTAACCTTAAATTTCAATGTGTATATTAATATGTTAAGTGACTTTGTATGACATAATTTTTAACCTACAGATCTCTGGTAGCTTTAGTTTACAAACACTTATTACTAAAATCAGTGAAAATAGAAATATCATTTTTCCCTATACGCCATCATAGGACTCCCTATTTGACCTTGCAACTATTTAAAAGGAATTTGGGGCTATAAGTTCATTAAACCTTGTGCTTTCCTAATTAAACAACTTTAAATTTATTTTTCATTGTTTATTTTTGTTACTCTAATCTTCACCCTAGTTTTAGAATTTGTGAACGACATATGTGGTAGTATTATGCAACCAGCCCAGTTAGGAATAGAGTTGACTTATTGACTCTCTGGACATAATGACCAATTAAACTTGAGGGACTCTAGAATCTCTAGGGCTAAAAAGAGGACACAGAATTGTGTGAGTGGTACTCCCTTAATAAATATTGGTTGGCTTTATTTAAAGGCATAACTTTCTTTCCATGACACTTCCAATGTTGTTGATGTCTATAAAGTCAACTTCTCGTTGTAGAAATCCACTAGGAACCTGGTGAGGAGAGCCCATGTCAGTCAAAAATGCCCCAATGACTGAAGACACACTAACTATACACATTTTCCTCTCCTCATAAGTATTTTTCTCACATGTTCTTGATGCAGTCCAGGTTTCATGCTAATTTCATTCTTGGTCAGTGGGCAAAAGGTAGTTGAGTTAGAATGTCGTAAAGATTGAAAATTCAAAAACTCAACTGCATTTATTAATCTGTCTTTGAACCAGACTTCCTTTGAAACACAGCACAAAGAAAGGCGTGAATATCTCTTGGACATTTAGAAAAAAGGTGAGTGGCGTCTAATACAGTGTATTATATTACCATGAGTGGGAAGGATCTCTCAAGAACATCTCACCTACATCCCTGCCTCTGAGTTGCATCATGTTAAATAATCAGAATGCCCAATTTGTTTCCTGGGAACTTTGAAATTAATATGAAGTATTTTCAGTGATTCCAAAAATCCTTCGTATCCTTTCACCCTTTTGAATGGTTTGCTCATTATATCTCCGTACATAAAAACGGTCAGTGGGATTTAAGATTTCTTTTGATTCATGTAGAAAATAGAAATAGGACAAAAAGTCAACGTGACAGTGGAATCAACATGTTCTTGTCAAGAGGTAAGTTCATTTTCTGATAACGTAAAAGAGAAATTGGCGCCATATAAAATATGAAGAAAATAAGAGAAATTATCAGTGCCATATAAAATGTGAAGAGAAGAGGACGTGAAAAAATAGGAGTAGAAAATAACAGCTACTGAATAGGGTCCTCTTTTATTCCATGCCCTTTAGATAACCAGATATCACCTACTACATTGATTTAACTTCCATTTACTGGAAAACTATGTACTCAGTATATTATGCTAGAAACAAAGACAAAGTGATAATATGAAATTCAATAATTTCATGTTATAATATTATGAAATTATAACAATCACTTGAACCACCAATAGTAAATTTTCTGTTTTCTCATATACAAGACAAGCTGAGATAATGATATAGTATTACTATTAATGACTTATTAGTGATTAGTATTAATGATACTGCTATTGATATCAAGCTCACATTCATTAAATGCTTAGTATGCTTGGGACAGGGTCCTAAGTTCAGATGTGTATACATTGTCTCACTTGAGCTTCACAATACTCTCTTTTTATCAAGTCAGAGATTGTTTTTTAATGTAGCACAAGAATGTTCATTCATTGCCCAGGATCACACAATCCAGTAATAAAACCCTGGCAGATTCTGGCTCCAGAGGCACTGTACCTAACAGCTAACCTTTAACAGTGATTTTTTTTAATGCTACTAAGTAGGAAGACAATGTGATACTTTCTTCTTGTTTTTATTTGTGTTTCTTCAATAATGAAAAAGTTATAATCTTTTATACTTTCACTGTCATTTTATGTTGTTTTCTTCCCCAAACTGCTTATTTATGTCCATTGCTCATTTTTTTCCATTGGACTTTTGATCTTTTTCTATTTATTATGTAATAATTATTTATATTTTAATATAATAACCATTTTTTCCATAAACATTGTATATTTTTCTATCTTGCCATTTATGTTTTATCTTTCTGTGTAGTCTTTTTCTGATATAAAAAATTGTATTAATGAGTAAAAATTGTATATATTTATAGTGTACAACATGATGTTTTGATATATGTGTACATTATAAAGTGGCTAAATCAAGTTATCTAATGTATGTATTACCTTACATATTTATCATTTTGTAAATTTACATGGACATTCAAAAAAGCCTAATCTCATATTCTCTTCTATTTTTCAACCAAAGGTGTATTACTGTTATTTGCCAAAAAATAATGTGTATCTATAGCTAAAAAAAATCATATATAATGGAAGAAGTTAAAAATCTCAAGGTCATCTCTGTTCATTTTCATTTATTCATTCCATTATCAAATTATACTTTATATATCAGTGTTTTTACTCTGGAAAAGTTATCTTATTCTGTGGTAAATTGTGTCAATACTTATTTTCTCTTCTCTCTTCAGTCTATCTTTCTATTTTTATGCTTGCAAATTCAAATGGTGTAAACCACCTCGATGACATTTCATTTAAACATGCAAAGTAGACTGAAGAAACTTAGGTGCACTTAGGTAATATAACTAAATAACTGATGACTTTTACAGACTGAAGAAAATCAACTTGAATATATGACTTTTGGTTTGTTTCTATTTTAATTTATGACCACTTTTGTGCTGTATGCAGTCATTCTTATTGTACTATCTGTGTATTTAGGGGGAAATACGGTATAAAAGAAAGAATGATCTTTAAATCCTAGGTGTTAGTCTTGACCTCACCAATAATGAGTGTGCAAATTATTTATTCTTACTGAATCACAGAAGCAATAAAATGCAAACCATGACTGTGAGGGGTTTGATGAGAATTACAAAGAATGTATTTCACACACTGAGCAGTTTCTGGCACATGTTAAGTAAAGCAACAATTATGTTATCAGTTTTGCTATTTTAATTAAGGTATTTGCAGATGGGGAGATGACATCTGTGGTCATTACTATATATCACAAGTAGCCATAATTTTATTACTAATACCCACGGTAGTTCTTTGTGGAAATGGACCTACATGCATGGCATTTAGGAGACAGACACAACTCAAAAAAACACGTAAAGATGTTACTAAAAGAAGCAAAATTTCTTTAGATCAATTGCAGATTTAGATTCAACTCTTATACCCTCTATATTACTCAGCATTTTCAGGCCAAATTTAAAATAATTGGAGTAAAAGTAATATTTCTTTCTAAACTGTTTATTAAGATAGGTTAGGAGGTAAGAAGAGGAGAGAACATAAAATGCATTGAGAACTCACAATTTTCCATGTGTTATGCATATGTTACATACTTTATGTCATTTAAATGTAATGATTTTCTTTAAAGTAATTTAAACACTACTGAAAACACAGGAACTACTTTTAAGCTTAAACATAACCATATTATACTTTACAAGGGCTTTATCCACTTGACTGTAAATTGTATTTGATGCTGAGCTATTCATTAAATTTAATTCAGCTCCAGTAAGAGTATTCAATAAACAAACATTGATTGCTTTCCTATCTTACATTTTTTTAGGAGTGCGAAATAAGTGAGTCATCATGAATTGGGAAAATGAGAGCTCCCCAAAAGAGTTTATACTACTTGGCTTCTCAGATAGGGCTTGGCTACAAATGCCCCTTTTTGTGGTCCTGTTAATATCATACACAATCACCATATTTGGCAATGTGTCCATCATGATGGTGTGCATTCTGGATCCCAAACTTCATACTCCCATGTATTTCTTTCTCACTAATCTCTCCATCTTAGATCTCTGCTATACCACAACTACAGTCCCTCATATGTTGGTAAATATTGGTTGCAACAAAAAGACCATCAGCTATGCTGGCTGTGTGGCCCACCTCATCATCTTCCTGGCCCTAGGTGCTACAGAGTGTCTCCTTCTGGCTGTTATGTCCTTTGACAGATATGTGGCTGTTTGCAGACCCCTCCACTATGTAGTCATCATGAATTATTGGTTCTGCCTAAGGATGGCAGCCTTCTCATGGCTCATTGGTTTCGGCAACTCAGTGCTGCAGTCTTCCTTGACTCTTAACATGCCACGCTGTGGTCACCAGGAAGTGGACCACTTTTTCTGTGAGGTGCCTGCACTTCTCAAGTTGTCATGTGCTGACACAAAGCCTATTGAGGCTGAGCTCTTCTTCTTTAGTGTACTAATTCTTCTAATTCCAGTGACATTGATCCTCATCTCCTATGGCTTCATAGCTCAAGCAGTATTAAAAATCAGGTCAGCAGAAGGACGGCAAAAAGCATTTGGGACATGTGGGTCCCACATGATTGTGGTGTCCCTCTTTTATGGAACAGCCATTTATATGTATCTTCAACCACCTTCATCCACCTCTAAGGACTGGGGAAAGATGGTTTCCCTCTTCTATGGAATCATCACATCCATGTTGAACTCCCTCATCTACAGCCTTAGAAATAAAGATATGAAGGAGGCCTTCAAGAGGCTGATGCCAAGAATCTTTTTCTGTAAGAAATAAGAAGTACTCCATTGTGATGAGAATCTTCTTAGTCTTTCCTTATCTTCAATGATGGTAATGACCTTTGAACTCATTTTCCTATTTTCCAGGCTCTGGTGATTTCACTAAATTCTGTCAACAATTAGAAAATCCTTCCTCTGTTGGCTGGGCGCGGTGGTTCACGCCTGTAATCCCAGTACTTTGTGGGGGCCAAGGTGGGCAGATCACATGAGGTCAGGAGTTCGAGACCAGCCTGGCCAACATGGCGAAACCCCATCTCTACTAAAAGTACAAAAAAATTAGCAGGGCATGGTGGTACACGCCTGTAATCCCAGATACTCAGGAGGCTGGGGCAAGAGAATCGCTTGAACCCAGGAGTCAGAAGTTGCAGTTAGCCCAGATCGCGCCACTCACTCCAGCGTGGGTGACAGAGTAGGAATCTGTCTCAGGAAAAAAAAAAAAAAAAAAAAAAAAAAAAGGAAAGAAAGAAAAGTCTTCTTCTGTTTAGGAAGCAATGCTGAACCCATATGACATGTCTTCAAAGTTAGAAACTCCTTTCTTTTCAGAAGTTCCCCCAATGTACTCTGTTCCTTGAGACAAGTCATGTCAATTTCCTATCAACTTCAGGGTAGTCAGGAGACTTTGATGGATTGCCTTCCACTTGTATACTATTATTCTATAACCATCCTGTCTACGCCTTTAGTTAGGGATTTTAATATCCTTATAATTAAATTACCAGTTATTCCAAGCCAAAAATTATTCCATCAGAATCAAAGTCTTCAAACACTTTGAACCCTCTGATCTCTTGATAAAATTCATCATATGCACCTTTTCAGAACTGTTTTTGGTATGTAATTTGGCTTCAATCTAGCTGGCTTTGTTTTTGTTTTGTTTGAGAATGAATTTTACTCTTGTTGCCCAGGCTGGAATGCAATGGCACGATCTCAGCTCACTGCAACCTCCACCTCCTGGGTTCAAGTGATTCTCCTGCTTCAGCCTTCCAAGTAGCTGGGATTACGGATGCCCGCCACCATGCCCAGCTAATTTTTTGTATTTTTAGTAGAAACGGGGTTTCTTTGTGTTGGCCAGGCTGGTCTCGAACTCCTGACCTCAGGTGCTCCACCCATCTCAGCCTCCTAAATTGCTGGGATTACAGGCATGAGCCACTGCACCCAACCAATCTAGCTGGTTTTAAACCAGCTAAGTGTGTGCATCTCAATCTGGAAACCTTAAATGTCAGTTGAGTTTTATTTCAAATTCTATTTTCAATTCATCTCTTTATTCCTCCGGATAGCATTTATCCTTTCTTCCCTTTTGTTAAATTCCTTATTTGTCCCAAGTTCTACCTCAGGTATGTGGCATCTTTTCTAAATTATAGAGCTAATTATAGAAATGTTAATGGGAATCCTTTTTTCTCATATTGACCTGAATTAGCTTACTCTTTATCTGTGGTAGTCATTCAATAAACATTTATTGTTCACAAGACAGCAGTAGTCCAGAGGAGAAATATCACAGTTCCTCTGCTGAAGAAATGTGCTAGTTCCAGAAGGCAATGATTCTTAAACTGAGACATTTAAATGATGGTTTACAGTTAGTAATGTAAGGACACAGATGAGGCAACATTTCAGGCAACAGAGAAAGCTTTACAAAACAAAGCATTTCATCATTACAAGTAATTTAGCAGTTAAACAATACAAAACCAGGCAAGATGAGGTTGACGATGTAATATAATTATATATTATATATAGTTCTATATCACATATAATTATGATAATGATATATTATATATAATTATATTATATATTATTATATTATATATTATTATATTATATATAATTATATTATATAATTATAATTATCTTATATACAATTACAATTATATTATATATAACTATAATAATATTTAGATGACATTTCAAATAAGTGGAAAAAGAAGAGACTGAAGAAATGTCTGTTGAGTTTTATTTCAAATTCTATTTCAATTCATCTCTTTATTCCCCTGGATAGCATTTCTCCTTGTTTTTCCCTTTTGTCAAATTCCATATTTGTCCCAAGTTCTACCTCAGGCATGTGGAATGACCCCTTAATTATAGAGCTAATTATAGAAATGTTAATGGGAATCATTTTTCCTATATCGATCATATCTTCAGAAAACACAAAAAATGAAAGAACACAAAGGGATCCACCTTTTACCTGGATCTCTGTTGTTACCCAATCTACCTTTATGCACTTCTCCCAACTCACTACCAGCGGAGTTTGCGTTTTTTCGTGTGCATTATATCAGAAAATATTCCTATGTTTTCTGGTATTTAAAACATAATTGAAATAGCTGCAAATTGGGCCGGGCATGGTGGCTCACACCTGTAATCCCAGCACTTTGGGAGGCCGAGGCGGGTGGATCACGAGGTCAGGAGATCGAGATCATCCTGGATAACACGGTGAAACCCCGTCTCTACTAAAAATACAAAAAAATAGCCGGGCATGGTGGCAGGCGCCTGTAGTCCCAGCTACTCGGGAGGCTGAGGCAGGAGAATGGCGTGAACCCAGGAGGCGGAGTTTGCAGTGAGCCGAGATTGCGCCACTGCACTCCAGCCTGGGCGACAGAGCGAGACTCCATCTCAAAAAAAAAAAAAAAAAAAAAAAAGCTGCAAATTTAATTTCACCAAGGAAGTGTATTAAAATCTATTTAACCACTTTCCTATTGTTGAGCATATTTACACTCCTTGTTTTGATTATTGTTACTACTACTGCCAATAATTCAATATGAATTTGTGTCTAAATGTCAGTTTATATTCTGAAAAACTGAATTACTGGCTCTAATTATAAATTTCTTAGAAGATCTAAGAGTTAATAGATATGGTCAAATTGTGCTGTAGAAATTTTATAACATTCCACATTCCCAGATAGATCACTGTATATAGCAAATGAGAATGGTTGCTTCACGAGCTTTTGCAAACTCTGAGAGTTTCATCTTTTGATGAATATGCCAATTTTAGAAGCAGAAACATTATCAAGTTCCTATTTGTTATTTCCTTGAGTATTTTGAAAGTAGAGTATTTTTCATAAATTGAATACATTAGGAATGTTTATAAATATTTTATTTTTTCTCCCCTTCTAGGCAGATGGTAAAATTGCACATCCCTGTCCTATCGAATGCAGACCTGGCTGTTTAATATGATTTGCCAATAAAATGTGAAGAGAAATGATGTGGGTTATTTTTTGATGACTTCAAAATCTAGTACATACTCTGCCATGTTCTCTTTCCCTCTGGCAATCAAAACAATGTTCCAGGTAGGTTCTCAATCAGCCTGAAACAAATGTTAGGAAATTAAAATATGAGGCACTGGCAAAAGGATCACATGGCAGATGATGAGGGATATGATAGTAAAGCTTGAAACTGAGAGGGGCCAAGATGGTCAGTGACACAGCCAGGAAGAACATCTTCCACAACAGACCAGGATATCAGGAAGACTGGCATACTCCGAGCCGATCTTCGGAGGGAAGGCATTGAGGGTGGACAGAGGGAGGACATAGAACCTGGGCTGGAGGGTGAGAAACCTCGGAACTTTGCACGGAGTTGCAGAGTACCCGGACTCGTTTCTGGCCCATGTTCTTGGCCCGCAGTGACTCCTGGGGAAGAGGTCCGTTGAACACACGAGGAGTGGCCACTCTCGCCACAGACCTCCAGAATCCCAACTGCAGGAGACCCCATGACCCCGCGGACACTTGAGCTGGCAGGGAGAGCTATTTGGAAAGGTGGCAAGGACAGGACTTCAGCCTGTGAAAAGCCCAGAGGGTCTGACACAGGAACGGCTGCAGTGGAGCATGGCCAGAGACGCCCATTCCCCCAAAGCTCACCATGCTCCTCTAGGTGGTCTCAGCCTATGGTAACTGCCAGACCTGAACGGAGCAGGGCTATCTTACCTGTGGGATGGGACCAGTCTAATCTGAGTGCTCCCTTGTCTGCCGGCCTCTCCTGGGGTAGACTGGCTAAAGAAAATGTGCTACATATACACCATGGAATACTAAGCAGCCACAGAAAAAGAATTAGATGATGCCTTTTGCAGGAACATGGATGGAGCTGAAGACCATTTTCTTAAGCAAAGTAACGTAGGCACAGAAAACCAAATACCTCACACTCTCATTCATAAGTGAGAACTAAACACTGAGTACACATGAACACAAAGAAGGGAAAAGTAGACTCTGAGGCCTACTTGAGGGTGGTTTAGTTTTTTAAGGACTAAAAAACTACCTATCATATACTATGCTTATCACCTGGGTGGTGAAATAGTCTATACAACAAACCCTATGAAATACGATTTACCTACGTAACAAACCTGCACATGTACCCCTGAACCTAAAGTAAAAGTCTAATAAAAAATGAGAGAGATTGAAATTATGGTGCCAGGTTTGGTGGCTCACACCTGTAATCCCAGCACTTTGGGAGGCCAAGGTGGGCAGATTGCCTGAGCTCAGGAGTTCAAGACAAGCCTGAGCAAAGTAGTGAAAACTCATCTCTAAAAAAATACAAAAATTCATTGGGTGTAGGAGCAAACACTTGTAGTCCCAGCTACTAGGGGATGCTGAGGCAGAAGGATCACCTGAGCCTGGGAGGTTAAGGCAGCAGGGAGCCAAGATCACACCACTGCAGAGTACAGACAGAGAAGACCCTGTCTCAAAAAAAAGAAAGAAAGAGAAGAAAGAGAGAAAGAAAGAAAAAGAAAGAAAGAAGAAAGAAAGACAGGGAGGGTGAAAGAAAGAGGAGAAAAAAGAAAGAAAAGAAAGAGAAAGAAAGAAAGAGAGAAAGGAAAGAAAAGAAAGAGAAAGAGAGAGGGAGGGAGGGAAGGGAAAGAAGAAAAAAAAGGGAAGGAAGGAAGGAAAAAGGGAAGGAAGGAAGGAAGGAAGGAAGGAAAAAGAGAAGGGAGGGAGGAAGGGAGGGAGGGAGGAAGGGAGATAAAGTGATCCATGTTATACAATAAGGAAACATTTCATAAACTATCACCTGCAATAACTTAGAAGGCAGATAATGAACCTAACAACTGAGTGGAACCCGAGGGTTATGAAGAACAATGGATGGAGGAGCTACTTTTCAATGAGTGGGATATAGGGACATTTCCAAACTCACATTTGGAACGCCTCACAAGAACTGCCCAGTGGTTACAGTGATTGTTTAACTTCTGGGAAGACATTTTAAGGGCAGAGTGTGTTTTGCAACTTTTATTTCCCTCTATCACAACAATCTAGAGAACTTTGGATAGTGTCTACTTCATCAGTTTGGATCCCTAATGCACAATGACATGGACAAGTCCCTAGCAACATTCAATAAACACAAAACATAAGCAAAAATGAAATATTTGTTGGTTTAAGCCTTTATGATGGACTTGTTTACCAGCATATGTTAATTGGCCATTTTTTTTAAAAAAAATAATATTATGGAGAAATACTCACTGTTAAGTGGTGGAGAAAACTCAAGAAACGATTCTACACTTAGAACATGACCCTAATTTTATGTATACCTATATGTGTAAGAAAACACTAGAAATAAGTTCACCAAGCTAACTGTGGTGAGGTAAGTGACAGGATATCAGGAAATTTTTATTCCAGGCTTCTTATTTTTCTGTATTTTCTGATTTCATCATACAATTTCTTAAGTATTAGGAAAAAGTCTAAACATCATAAAACTGGTGCTCTAAGTCTATTTCACCTTGAAAAGTCTTGCATTAATGTTTATTTGCTTCCCATTAGACACTATCTTAAAGCCATAATAACCTAAAGTTGAATTTTATTTGAAATAAAAATTATTGATAGTGAAATTTTTATTAATGTATTTATAAATTTGGCAACTAATTTTAGAAATATCTACTCCAACCTTCAAGCTTACCATTAATAATTTCCCAAAGTCTTCTTAAAAATAATTTTATAAATATTTATACTTTGGGGGGCATTAGTAACTTAAATAACAAAAATAAGATGGGTTGAGCTCTAAAATTTGAATCACCATCAATGTTCTAAAATATTTTTATATTACTTGTATCTACATTATTATCACATACCACCTAAATCAGAGACACTTAAATTTTCTCTGCCTTCCTAAGTGCACATCCAGAGCAAAGATATTATATATAGATATATAGTATATACAGATATTAAAATAGTTATAAATTTGCCTAATGTTTTTCAATCGCTTACTATACATACAGATTTTGCTATTTGCCGAGTATTTGTTAGTGAATAAGACAGACACAATTCCTTCCCTCACAAACTTTATAGTCTAGTGGGAGAAAGAAAACAAATAATAATACTAAACATGTAATTACAAGTTGTACTAAGTACTATAAAGTAAAAATGACAAGGCTTCATGAATAAAATGGATGGGTGATTAGTTTAAACCAGGAAAGGTTCAAGGAAAGCTCTTCTAGGGAAGTGTCATTTAGGCTCAGATCTATAAGTGAGGTAGTAAATTCTTCAGAGTAGACAAAACAGTAGATGCTAAGGCCTTGATCTGGCAGGAAGTATCATAACCACAAGTGTTCTTTTTATTGTCATCTTTTTATTTAATGTAGTTTACTACATTTTACATTTATAATGTATTTTTAATGTAATTTTTAAAGTTGCAAGTATAATACAGAACTTTAAATACCCTTTTCCAGAGTCATCATTCATTTACATTTGCCTTACTTTTACACATATGTAATATATAAATGTAGTTTTCATATCTATGAAATTTTTCCCAACCTTTTTATTACTACATACACTTTAGTGTATAGTTGCTAAGGACATTAACTTCCATACATAGCCAGTACAATCATAAAAACTGGGACATTTTACAGTCATATAATACTATTATGTAATCAATAGTTCATATTCAGATCTTGTTAATTATCTCCAAAATGTTCTTTATATTTTCTCCCATTCAGGAGCCAATAATGATGCAACATTTCAGAAAAGTGTATAAGGATAGTTTGTCTTAAAATCGATGCTGTTAACTTTAGTCACTTGACTAACATGGTGTCCCCCAGATCTCATTATGCCTTTTTCCTGAGAAATTAATAAGTAATTTGTGGCAGACAGCATAACTATGTAAATGTCTTAAACTTTCACCCACTAATTTTAACATCTATTAATAATTCTCCAATCCTAGTATGCCCTCTATATTTATTAACTGATGTGCCATTAAGAGTTTTCCCTTTTCCCCCTTCATGTATTCATTTTTTATATTTTTATCAGTATATACTCATAAATTTCTATTTTATATCGCTATTTTACCTTTTTTTATTATTACAGTTTTTCTGGGGTACATGTGCAGGATGTGAAGGTTTGTTACATAGGTATACATGTGCCATGGTGGTTTGCTGCACCCACCAACCTGTCATCTACATTAGGTATTTCTCCTAATGCTATCCCTCCCCCAGTCCTCCATCCCTGACAGGCCCCAGTGTGGGATGTTCCTCTCCCTGTTCCATGTGTTCTCATTGTTTAACTCCCACTTATGAGTGAGAACATGCAGTGTTTGGTTTTCTGTTCTTGGGTTAGTTTGCTGAGAATGATAGTTTCATTAACTAGATTAACTGTGTAGTAAGAATTTATCATTCACTTTTCACTTCCACACCAGCAGGATGATGTAAGGAAACTAATACCATCAGAAAGGATCATGTTTTAAAATTAAAGCTATAATAGGGAAAAAAAATATATATATATATACTGTATCCCTACATAAAGCTGAGGGTTACCGAGAATAAGTCAAATGTATTCATTAATGTCAATAATGAATTGGGTGGGAGTGGATTCAGACAGAAAAGAAATAAAAACAAAGGGTATACGTATATCAAATCATCACACTGCACACCTTGAATATATACAATCTTTATTGTCAATTAAATATTGTTTTAAAAAATAAAGGACCAGAAGCTGAATATAGTTATAGAATGCAGCAAATGATGAAAACAAAAGTGGGAGCAAAGAACAAGCCTGAGATGATCAGTGTGAACTTGGCTAGAAGGATTCCAGATTGCTAGATCTGCTGCTAATTGTGAACCATGGGTGAAAAAAGCAATTACTTTAAAAACAAGCCCATGGCCAAAAGTTTTCAGGACCCATATTTTCAAAATTCCAGATTCCATGATTTTTAATCATGTTTTAATAACATTAATGTATGTTAATATCTTCTTGACACAATGTTTTTATGGTTTAAATAAAATGAGGAACTTTAATGTAGTCAATGGAAGGTAAAAAGTCTATACTGTGTTGGGTTATTGTGGAAGAAATTATTGAAGACTTCTTTTGTCTGTATGTGGAACTAGGATTATGATGGCTCTATGGTAGCAGAAATCTAAAGAAATAATATCTTGAGAAAAACTATAAATAAAAGAAAATTAGATCTTGGCACCTAAAATAATAATCTTAATTTCCTCCTTGTGATCCAAGGAAATTTTTATAAAATTGTTAAGGCAGATTCAGTTTCCTTGGCTTCTCTCAGACCTGAGTCCATTATAAATAACAGGTGCCAAAATTTATCATTTCATTTTATTATGGCAAGGAAGTTAGAGGGAAGCATACCCACTAAGGAATTGCTATAATGACCCTTACCAAGAAATTTCAACTCTATTATCTGTACAGAGAACAAAGTTTCACAGCTTTATAGAGTGAGTGGCAACCCTATAAAGTACTTTTTTTAAAGTACCTTTAGAACAAGATCGTGTCCTTTGCAGGGACATGGATGGAGCTGGAAGCCATTATGCAGGAACCATTATGCAGAAAACCAAACCCTGCATGTTTTCACTCATGGAATGATGAGCTGAGCAATGAGAAAACATGGATACAGGGAGGAGAACAACACACAGTGGGGCCTGTCTGGGGGTGGAGAGGGGAGGGAGAACATCAGGAAAAATAGCTAATGCATGCTGGGCTTAATACATACGTGATGGGTTGATAGATGCAGCAAACCACCATGGCACACGTTTACTTATGTAACAAACCTGCACATCCCACACATGTATCCCAGAACTTAAATAAAATAAAATAAATTTTTTAAAGTACCTTCCTTACCTCTAAAGAGTAAGTAGGTTTTCATATTTGAAAATATTTGGGGTGTGCTCTGAGGGAGGGCCTGGGCCACCCACCTTTGCTGGAGGAGCCCTTCAGGCCATAATAAGCATGAATAATGTCTTTCCTCTTTGAGTGGATCTACAATGGCTTCAGCAGTGTGCTCCAGTTCCTAGGACTCTACAAGAAATTTGGAAAACTTGTATTTTTCGGTTTGGACAACGCAGGCAAAACCACTCTTCTTCACATGCTCAAAGATGACAGATTGGGTCAACATGTTCCAACACTACATCCGACATCAGAAAAGCTATTAATTGCTGGAATGACTTTTACAACTCTTGATCTTGGTGGACACAAGCAAGCATGTCAGGTTTGAAAAAATTATCTCCAAGCAATTAATGAGATTGTTTTTCTGGTGGATTCTGCAGATCATTCTGGCCTCATGGAATCTAAAGTTGAGCTTAATGCTTTAATGACTGATGAAATAATATCCAATGTGCCAATCCTTATATTGGGTAACAAAATAGACAGAACAATGCAATAAGTGAAGAAAAACTCTTTGAGATATTTGGGCTTTCTGGACAGACCACAGGAAAGAGGAACATGGCCCTTTAGGAGCTGAACGCTCACCCCACTGAAGTGTTCATGTGCAGTGTGCTCAAGAGGCAAGGCTAGGGCGAGGGATTCTGCTGGCTCTCCCAATGTATTGACTGATGTTTGGACAGAGAAAATAAGAGTTTTTCTCCTCTGGACTGATCCTGTTCACAGCTTCTTCATGGACTTTTCTAATAGAACAATGAAAGGTCTCCAATCATGTCTAGCATTGAGAAGCCAAGAGTCACTGTCTACTCTCATCACCCAGTGGTGAAATGTTCTCTTCTCCACACTGTTGGGGAGGTAATGCTGCCCCATGTGCTGGTGCAGGTCAGTATCCTGGGGCTTGGAAGCTGGCAGGGGTTGCTGAGTAAAGCTGTGTGCCATTATGGGGCACCTGAAAAGAAAAACACATCTCACCACTCTGGTTGATTTCAAAAGAAAGTGATTCTATTTTTAAAGAAAGTGTTGTTAATATAATTGATACCCCTTCTAACTTTTCGAGTTCAAAATTTACTTAGTCCAGAGTTTTCTATTCTTTTTTAAACTAATGAATGACATTTAGATACTTCATAAAATTATGAACAGATACACATTGGAGGCCAGAGCTCATTTGGGTAAACTCACTCCTGCTGAGTTAGCAGGTTGGTGAGAGAAGCTCCCCTGAGCTCACCTGTCTCTCTAACTGCCTTGGAGAAGGTGGCATTACCTTGTGAACAGAGAACCAGAAAAGGGGCAGAATCCTGGCCTTGTAATTGCGGCAGGTTTCCACTGTGGTAAGCTAGGGTCATTCCTTCTCAAGGAATGTGTAGCAGATCATTCACTATTGAGCAGTTAATTATAGTGTAAGTTACTGTTATTATTCTTATTTATAAAGTTATAGGTTTCATCCAGTCTTTACTTTTATACTTTGGTGAAATTTTATTTCCCTCTATAGCACCTTCCTTTTTCATTTTCAGTTATAAAAAGTAACTTTCACCTCATGAAAAAGTTGAGAACATCTCTTATGTTGTCACATACTGCAGGTGTGTCAGTTACTTTTGCACAGATTCTAGAGGAAAATTTTTCTGAATAGGAAGACAGGACAAAGTTAACAGCTTAAGGGCTCTTAATTCTGGGAGTTGAGGACTTAAATGTATTGTAGCACTTGTCTGAATGCAGGAAAAATTTACTCACTGGGCTTTAAAATTTCCATTTGCAGAATTTGGTCTCTATTGGATTTTTCCTGAGCTCTTTGTCTTACATCTTATCTCCTTAGATATCTACGTTGCTGTGTTTAAAGTAAAGGTTAACATCTGTAGCTTTTCCAGGTGTGTTTGTGTGGATTTTTTTAATATGAAATTGCCTTTCCCCATTGTAGAAATAAGCTGGGGGGAAACACTAACTCAAAAACTTTCTGTAGAGCTGTTCCTTTGGAAGCAGCATCACTTATTGGCAGTAAAGACTCAGGATAAAAGCAACAGCATCCCTACCACGGTGATGAGGATTGATTTTATAGCATTCCATTTTCTTAGTGTCACATGTGAAATTGGTTTTTTATGATCTTAACCTAAATTCTACCCTTGTAGTAAAAGATCAAAAGATAAGATCTCCTAGGAAAAGACAGGAGATAGGAGATGAAAAGTTAGGAGGATATCTTTATTCTAATGTGAGGGTAGGGAAAATGTGGATAACATATTATTGGGGAGAGAGTATAGTTATTTAGTTGGAGTTCTCAGTCTTCAGTACTGACTTGTTCGGGAAACATACTTTTTCACTGCCAGGTACTGAATGCAGAGGCTCAGTGAAGTATATTTCCGGGAAGTGCATGCATTTCATTTATTAGCAAGCATAGCTGGATTAAGATAAAATTGTTTGGAAAGGGGTTAAAGCCTTAACTGAACAAATCTAGCTAACAGTGAATGAACTAGATAGTTAACTTGCATTTTTTTTAAATTTTCCTTTGGTTAAAGGTTCCCCATACTTCTCTTATCAGAGACATGAGAAGTATGATTGCTTCCATGTTGGTTTTCTTACTTTTAGTTTCGGATTTTTTTTCCCTATTTGTCCCTAGTAACTTTGTTGCAAGCTAGAAAACTGTCGGTTCTACGTAGGGCAGCTGCTGTGAGGAGCTCAGCTCTAAACACAGGATCAGCGCCTTGTACAGGAATTCTCATGAATTAAGATGTTTCATTCTGTTTTATCAGAGTGCATGTATGTCCTATTTCAGAAAAAGTAAAACAGTCATTTACAAAAGAAAGTCAATCTGTATCCTAAGCATTTTAATTAAAAGTTAAAGCATAAATAAATAAATAAACAATAAATCAAAAGATTTGGGATCCTTTCAATCAAATAAATAACTATTAAAGACCTCTGATATGACATAAAACCACTGAATACAGAAAGAACATTCAATCTTTATCCCCAATTAACACTGAATTCTGATGGAAGAAAAAGATTAATGTTCTTTTTTGCAAGAAAAGAGGGTACCCCTAAAAAATATCAACACTGATTTAGGCAACTGTTGCATATGAGTAGAAATGATCTATTTAGCTTGATTGATTTAATCTTTTTATACAACCACATGCATGTTGTGATCTCCTTATGAAAATTTGCATACTAAAAAAACTATTTTAAAAAAGGCTACTGTGGGCACACTGCCTATAGGATAGCCCTGCTAGGCAAGGAGCAGTTAAAAAAAGTATAAATAAATTGACACCTATTAATACTAATACTAATCATTATAATTTAAAACATTGAAACATGTTTTTGAAAAATAATCTATGGTACTGTTTGCATTTGTGAGCATTTCCACTGATTAAAAACATATGTGTACTGATATTAAAATCTAGAAATCATTAACATCAGATTCAAGGCAAGGGATCTGAGTAATGTAGGGAAATAAAATGGTAGAAAAAACAACCCTTCTAAGACTTCTTATGGGAATATAAGGACATGGTTAATATTTGGATACAAAGAAAAATTAACTATCAGATATAGACTTAAAATCAAACAGGGAACTTTATTTCATGAAAAATAACCAACCCAACATTGAGTATTGGACTTAATAAAGCGTGTTCACACATATGGTGCTAATTAATCTCCACAACGGAGCAAGATAGATAAAGAAGTTTCTGAATATTTAAGCAAGACCTAAAATGTACATGTATTAGTAATTGGGAAGTGGACTAAATCTAGATTTTCTAATATCATTCTTGTTTCTTTTCTACTATGCCAGTATTGTCCAAATTTTTTACCATTACCTATAGTAAGGAATATATTGTACATCAGAATCCAGGTCATACAAACACATATATAAAATGAGTGATGAGAATAAGTAAAATAAATCAATAAAATAGTATATAACTGCGTAATAGATTACAACTCACAGTGTGAAAAGCACTAACATACATCATACTGTATAACTGCTGATACTTTAATGACCTTATATCACTTGGCTGTGCAATGAATTATCTTGTCTTGTAAGTACTGAACGTGTTGCAAGGAACCATTTCCTTTCAGCTGTGTGCTTCCTTTTATGACAAAAGTTTTATGTTGGCGATCGTCATTCCAGGATTTGGGAAGAAGAGGTAAGGAATAGCACTATGTTGTTTCTATGCAAATCAGACTGATCCACGTGGAGCTCAGTGAGTTCTGAACTCACCTACATCAACTCACAAATTGAACCAGAACATGACCAGGGCCAACAGATTTTGGATGAAAGAAATTAACACGTGTTAGTTAGCATGGGTAGTTCTTGGGCATTCTTTAAAATTATTCATTTCTCCATCTGATTCATTTTTCTAATATAAGATTAATTATGTTTCCCATTACTTAATCATTATTCTGTAAAAGTTTGCTATATTGCATTTCTTGGGTAAGATACAGAGATTTGTTGATCTTCCTTTTAGAGGCACTAGAAAGGTAACATTTTGGCCTTTAGATAAAATTTTTCATGCTTACAAGTGTCAAATCACATCAGTTTAGTTACATCACAGAGAAAACCCCTTCATAACTCAGTTTATTTTACTTAACTGAATAAGTGGAGTATCAGAAAAATTCAATACTAAAGTAGCCTTTCCTTTCCCTCAAATCCACCAACAAGAGCAATGACAGGAATCTGGGCAATGCAATTGCTCGAAAGATCTTCATTCTCTGGGGTTTCTTTGACCACCCCTAGCCGGAAATGTTTCTCTTCATAATGGGGCTTGTTGCTTATCTCTGCATACTGGTGGACAACATCTCAATTATTGTGGTACCCAGGGGATATTTTAGGGGAGCACCAAATGCATCATTTTAGCTGTGACGTCTTTGGATCCTTACATTGCCATCTGCAAACACTTGAGGTACCCAGCTATCATGCATCAGCAACTCTGTGTCCTCCTAGTGGCCATGGCATGGCTAAGCAGTTTGGCCAACTCTACTTCAGTCATCCCTTGCCGTCCAGCTGCCACTAGGCGGTAACAAGGTGGACGACTTTCTGTGTGAGGTCTCAGCGATGATCAAGATATCACGTTTTGACACCACATTCAATGTATCTATGCTCTCCATTGTGAGGATATTTTAGTCCCTCGTTCTCTAATCAATTATCTTTGCTTACTGTGGATTCATTGTAGCTACTGTGCTGAGGATTCAGTCCTCAGGGGGAAAGAAGGAGGTCTTCAACACATGTGGTTCTCATATTGTATCTCTCCTCTATGGGCCTGTAATTAGCATGTATGTACAGCCCTCTGCCAACTCCCAGGACAAAAACAAATTCATGTCCCTGTTCTACAGTTTGGTGACTCCTATGCTTAACCCTTTTATCTACACTTTGAGCAACAGGGACATAAAAGGGGCAATGAGGAGGCTTCTTGTCTTTTTGTATCACCAGGAAGAGAACAAAAGTAATTATTTTTATACTCCACATTCTTCATATACAGGTCAGAAGATCTCCTGTTCTAAAATTACATGTTGATTTAACCTCCTCCAAAATTGTTAGCATTCTTTACTACCCACCCTGTCTACATATATGCTTTTGTACCACACAATGGGGTTTGTTGGATATCATTTCAAGTGTGAATCCTAATCCTCAGATTGTCTGCAATTTGCATGGTAGTGAGAACTATGTCCTTATATTCCTTTGTATTTATCTAGAAATATCCATAGGCATCTAAAAAGTGGGCAATAAATAAATGTTAATAGACTGACTCATTTACTCAGAGCAAAAATCAAGTCCTATCATTTTATGTGTTACTTTGAAAAATATATATGAGTAATATAGACTGCAGTTTACCTTCTTGTTATTATGAATGTGATTTAAAGGCTAATCTTTTATTTGCAAATTAACTTTTTATGGATTGCCAGCAAGATCAAATAGGTTAATATCTCATATTCCATAACTGACCCTCTCAACCACAAATTCACTGATCCTTTACAAATAAAATAATTCAAAAATAATATCTGACTCTTTCCTATCGATCTTAATGGGATTTCTTCCTTCTGAGGTATTTGACTGAAGTAATTATTTCTAGGTTATCAGATGGAGAAGTTAAAATCTTCAGAAATTTCTATGTTGTCTCTTAATATTGAGAGCCACTCACCCTTCAATGGGAAGACAACCTACCTAGAATGAGAAAATTAGATGTATTTGGTAGGTAACCGAAGGATTAAATCGTCTCATCATTTAAAATCAGAATATTCAGCAGAAGGAAAATGGAAAAAGAAGGTAGAGCACAACCTGGGGCAAATATAAAATAAACTAGCTATCAGACCGTCAATTTTGAGATAGAGGTGACAAAGTAGAAAGTTGGATAATGATGTAAGAAGGCAGTGTTCTGTTGACTTTATCCATAACATCAACTCTCCTCATTATAAATCCATAATTTTTCTTATACTTCCTCTGCTCCCCTGTCTTTCAACTTGTGTTTAAGAAAAACATTTGTTTTTCTAACAACTACATACATTCATTTGAGGCCTTCACACATCTGCCCATCCTTCATGTATTTCCACTGTGCTCTTCTGAATGACAAGAACAAAATCTATTAACACACAATGTGCAAACCGCTGATAAAGAAATATTATATATTATAGTTTTGCCATTGTTGGAGACAAGGAAACATCACTCTTTTGGAGGAAAGTTGACTCCCTGGCATACCAACATGTCTGTAAGGACTAGGCCTGATTTCACTGTGTACCTCTCCTTCATAGTACTGACCTGTATTGAGAGAATGGGCTCTAAATAAGTATTTTTTAAATAAATGAATGAATGATAAGTATTACCCACTGTCCTAATTACCTACTATTAAAACCTATATAACAGAATCATGCAAAAATGTGTCATATACTAAACAATGAGTGTAGCAAAAGAGGTTTGTAGCTGAATGTTTTTTTAAATTTTTTATCTCCATAGGTTTTTAGGTAACAGGTGGTATTTGGTTACATAAGTTCTTTAGTGGTGATTTGTGAGATTTTGGTGCACCCACCACCTGAGCAGTATACACTGAACTCAATTTGTAGTCTTTTATCCCTCCCTCCCCTCCTACCCTTTCCCCCACCCAGTCCCCAAAGTCCATTGTATCATTCTTATGCCTTTGCATCCTCATTGCTTCGCTCCCTCTTATGAGCAAGAACATACAATATTTGGTTTTCCATTCCTGAGTTACTTCATTTAGAATAATAGTCTCCAATCCCATCTAGGTTGTTGTGAATGCCATTAATTCATTCCTTTTTATGGCTGAGTAGTATTCCATTGTGTGTATATATATATATATATATATATACCACAGTTTCTTTATCTATTCGTTGATTGATGGGCATTTGGACTGGTTCCACATTTTTGCAATTGCAAATTGTGCTGCTATAAACATGCATGTGCAAGTATATTTTTCGTATAATGACTTCTTTTCCTCTGAGTAGATACCCAGTAAGGGGATTGCTGGATCAAATGGTAGTTCCACTTTTAGTTCTTTAAGGAATCTCAACACTGTTTTCCATAGTGGTTGTACTAGTTTACATTCCCATCGGCAGTGTAGAAGTGTTCCCTTTCACCACATCCATGCCAATATATATTTTTTAAAAATTTTTTATAATGGTCATTCTTGCAGGAGTAAGGTTGGTATCTCATGGCAGTTTTGATTTGCATTTCTCTGATCATTAGTGATGTTGAGCATTTATTCATATGTTTGCTGGCCATTTGTATATCTTCTTTTGAGAATTGTCTATTCATGTCCTTAGCCCACTTATTGATGGGATTGTTTGATTTTTTCTTGCTAATTTGTCTGAGTTCCTTGTAAATACTGGATTATTAGTCCTTTGTCAGATGTACAGATTGTATAGATTGTGAAAAATTTTCTCCCACTTTGTGAGTAATCTACTCTGCTGACTGTTCTTTTGCTGTGCCAAAGCTCTTTAGTTTCATTAAACCCCACCTATTTATCTTGGATTTTGTTGCATTTGCTTTTGGGTTCTTGGTCAGAAATCTTTGCCTGAGCCAATGTCTAGAAGGTTTTTTTCAATGTTATCTTCTAGAATTTTTATAGTTTCAGGTCTTAGGTCTTAGATTTAAGTCTTTGATCCATCTTTTTTTTTTTTTTTTTAGACAGAGTCTTGCTCTGTCCCCCAGGCTAGAGTGCAGTGGCTCAATACCAGCTCACTGCAAGCTCTGCTGCCTGGGTTCACGCCATTCTCCTGCCTCAGCCTCCCGAGTAGCTGGGACTACAGGCGCCCGCTGCCATGCCCAGCTAATTTTTTGTATTTTTAGTAGAGACGGGGTTTCACCATGTTAGCCAGAATGGTCTTGATCTCCTGACCTCGTGATCCACCTGCCTCGGCTTCCCAAAGTGCTGGGATTACAGGCGTGAGCCACCGCACTCAGCTTTGATCCATCTTGAGTTGATTTTTGTATAAGGTGAGAGATGAGGATCCTGGTTCATTATCCTACATATGGCTTGCCAATTATCCCAGCAACATCTGTTGAATAGCATGTCCTCTCCCCACTTTATGTTTCTGTTTGCTTTGTCAAAGATCAGTTGGTTATAAGTATTTGGTTTTATTTCTTGGTTCTCTATTCTGTTCCATGGGTCTATGTGCCTACTTTTATACCCATACCATGCTGTTTTGGTGACTATGGCCTTATAGTATAGTTTCAAATCAGGTAATGTGATGCCTCCAGATTTGTTCTTTTTGCTTAGTCTTGCTTTGGCTATGTGGGCTCTTTTTTGGTTCCACATGAATTTTAGGATTGTTTTTTCTAGTTCTATGAAGAATGATGGGGTTGGGTCATATGTTGAGTTTATTTTAAGCTTTATAAGAAACTGCCAAGTGGTTCCTCAAAGTGATTTTAACATTTTGCATTCTCATCAGTAATAAATAAGAGTTCCCCTTGTTCTGCATTTTTTTTCTAGCATTCACTATTGTCAGGGTTTTTTTTTTTTAGCCAATAGAACATTATGTGGGAATTTTTCTGTCTTGTTGCCTAATATTTAATATTTATAGTTTCATAATATTTAAATTTTATTTACTTATTTTCATAATATTTAATATTTAATTATTTCATAATATTTAAATTTTGCTTCCTGGCCTGCAAAACCTGAACTATTTTCCATCTGGCTCTTGTGGGGAAAATTAGCTGATCTCTGGTCTTTCATATGGATTTTCCTAACTCATTGAACCTCATTGAGGTTCAACTGAACTATAAGTCAATAACTATAAGCTTTTTAAATATGGGAAATAGTGAGTCTTTGATAGGAACAAGTAATTTTTTCCAATTTTTCTTTAAGAATTTTGGCCTATGTACACAAGACAGGGATGCCCTCTCTCACCACTCCTATTCAACATAGTGTTGGAAGTTCTGGCCAGGGCAATCAGGCAGGAGAAAGAAATAAAGGGTATTCAATTAGAAAAAGAGGAAGTCAAAGTGCCCCTGCTTGCAGATGACATGATTGTATATCTAGAAAACCCCATCGTCTCAGCCCAAAATCTCCTTAAGCTGATAAGCAACTTCAGCAAAGTCTCAGGATACAAAATCAATGTGCAAAAATCACAAGTATTCTTATACACCAATAACAGACAAACAGAGAGCCAAATCATGAGTGAACTCCCATTCACAATTGCTTCAAAGAGAATAAAATACCTAGGAATCCAACTTACAAGGGATGTGAAGGACCTCTTCAAGGAGAACTACAGACCACTGCTCAATGAAATAAAAGAGGATACAAATGGAAGAACATTCCATGCTCATGTGTAGGGAGAATCAATATTGTGAAAATGGCCATACTGCCAAAGGTAATTTATAGATTCAGCGCCATCCCCATCAAGCTACCAATGACTTTCTTCACAGAATTGGAAAAAAGTACTTTAAAGTTCATATGGAACCAAAAAAGAGCCCACATTGCCAAGTCAATCCTAAGCCAAAAGAACAAAGCTGGAGGCATCACACTACCTGACTTCAAACTATACTACAAGGCTACAGTAACCAAAACAGCATGGTACTGGTACCAAAACAGAGATATAGACCAATGGAACAGAACAGAGCCCTCAGAAATAACGCCACATATCTACAGCTATCTAATCTTTGACAAATCTGACAAAAATAAGCAATGGGGAAAGGATTCCCTATTTAATAAATGGTGCTGGGAAAACTGGCTAGCCATATGGAGAAAGCTGAAACTGGATCCCTTCCTTACACCTTATACAAAAATTAATTCAAGATGGATTAAAGACTTCAATGTTAGACCTAAAACCAGAAAAACCCTAGAACAAAACCTAGGCAATACCATTCAGGACATAGGCATGGGCAAGGACTTCATGTCTAAAACACCAAAAGCAATGGCAACAAAAGCCAAAATTGACAAATGGGATCTAATTAAACTAAAGAGCTTCTGCACAGCAAAAGAAACTACCATCAGAGTCAATAGGCAACCTACAGAATGGGAGAAAATTTTTGCAACCTACTCATCTGACAAAGGGCTAATATCCAGAATCTAAAATGAACTCAAACAAATTTACAAGAAAAAAACAAACAACCCCATCAAAAAGTGGGTGAAGGACATGAACAGACACTTCTCAAAACAAGACATTTATGCAGCCAAAAGACACATGAAAAAATGCTCATCATCACTGGCCATCAGAGAAACGCAAATCAAAACCACAGTGAGATACCATTTCACACCAGTTAGAATGACGATCATTAAAAAGTCAGGAAACAGGCCGGGCGCGGTGGCTCACGCCTGTAATCCCAGCACTTTGGGAGGCCGAGGCGGGCGGATCACGAGGTCAGGAGATCGAGACCCCGTCTCTACTAAAAATACAAAAAATTAGCCGGGCGTGGTAGCGGGCGCCTGTAGTCCCAGCTACTCGGGAGGCTGAGGCAGGAGAATGGCATGAACCCGGGAGGCGGAGCTTGCAGTGAGCCGAGATCGCGCCACTGCACTCCAGCCTGGGCGACAGAGCGAGACTCCGTCTCAAAAAAAAAAAAAAAAAAAAAAAAAAAAAAAGTCAGGAAACAACAGGTGCTGGAGAGGATGTGGAGAAATAGGAACACTTTTACACTGTTGGTGGGACTGTAAACTAGTTCAACCATTGTGGAAGTTGGTGTGGCGATTCCTCAGGCATCTAGAACTAGAAATACCATTTGACCCAGCTATCCCATTACTGAGTATATACCCAAAGGATTATAAATCATGCTGCTGTAAAGACACATGCACATGCATGTTTATTGCAGTACTATTCACAATAGCAAAGACTTGGAACCAACCCAAATGTCCAACAATGATAGACTGGATTAAGAAAATATGGCACATATACACCATGGAATACTATGCAGCCATAAAAAATGATGAGTTCATTTCCTTTGTAGGGACATGGATGAAGCTGGAAACCATCATTCTCAGCAAACTATCACAAGGACAAAAAACCAAACACCGCATGTTCTCACTCATAGGTGGGAATTGAACAATGAGAACACATGGTCACAGGAAGGGGAACATCACGTGCCAGGGCCTGTTGTGGGGTGGGGGGAGGGGGGAGGGATAGCGTTAGGAGTTATATCTAATGTTAAATGACGAGTTACTGGGTGCAGCACACCAACATGGCACATGTATACATATGTAACAGACCTGCACGTTGTGCACATGTACTCTAAAACTTAAAGTATAATAAATAAAAAAAGAAGTTTGGCCTATGTATAACTATGATATATCAATTTTTAAATGCAAGACAAAGACAGACATTTTCTGTAGGTATCTGTTACTTAATGAGCATGGCTGATCTTTTTAGTTGCCTTTAAAATGTTCTGTATTTAATTAATTCATTCTAATATAAATATTCTGTGAATCTTTATTGTATTTTCTCAATACAATTTAGAACTTTAACTTTCTGAGGAAGGTTTTGAACCTCACTTTTCAATTGAATTTCCTGACGGTCAAATTGCTTAACCCATTCTGAATACTTTTACTGTAATTTTTACAGGCTTTAATGACAAGAGGCTTGAGGAAAGGGAGCCTGTTTTGCCCTTTACACCGGACACACAGAAGGCACCATCCATAAGAAATGAATGCTTACCAGGTAATGAAATTTGCTGGTACCTTGATCTTGAACTTCCCAGCCTCCAGAACTGTAAGCAATAAATTTATGTTGTTTACATAAAAAAGAAAATAAAAATACATGAAGAAGAATTACCCAGTGTTTCTCTCACATCCTTTACAGACTTCTAAACAATACAAACTCTTTAAATTGTAAACGAACTTGGAAAATTTTTACATCATCTTAAACAATTACGTATATCAGTTAAAAACAAATAAAGCCTTTAATAATGTGTTCAAATAATTTAATTTATATTTTGTTTCTTCCTCCATCAAAAGTCTTTACAGAAGCATAAATCAATTTCCTCAAAGCCCCTTTTGACTGATGATTGACTGGTACTTACTTTCTGATTGCTTCATTCTCCCCAATTCTAAGTCCCTGAGTCCCTGACATCAATTTAACTTCTCCAAGTGCAGTAGAAAATATTCATCAAGTGTTTCAATATTTGCTCTGACCTTACTTATAATTTAGCACTTGTTACAATAATTTACATATCTTTTCAGTTCACTGTTTGCTCAGTTGGTCATCCCATTCTTGAGCTTTTTTGCGTGTAGTTTATGCTTTCCTGGACATTGCAATGCTCATTTTAGCCATATTTTGTTGCTATCTTAACTTGCTGGCTTTTTTTACTCTTCTGACATATATTTATGGTTATTTCGCATCCACTTTTTGGGATTAAAAGGACCTGAACACATCTTCTACTGGCTGAACTCCAGTTCCAAAGCTAGCCATCACCTTAACTCAATGTGAACATTAAGACTTTCTTCCTTTTGATTCTTTTCTGAAAGTATCTATTTTAAACTCAAATTTGATATAGACTTGGACCACGTGGTATCTTCTTCTCAAGGCTGCACTCCATTAAAGGTAATTTAAGTGTTCACATTATTTTTTAATCAGCCTAATTTATCAACAACTTTACATTTTTCTCCAACTAAAGCATAAATTCTATGGCAAACTCTTTCTTCCTATTTATATAAACCTGGCTTTCAACTATTAAGAAACACAAATATAGCTGCACTTACCACTATGTTCCAATGTTAAGCCACAGAGATCTGGCATGATTCTCATGTCTTCTGGCAACACTGACATGGCCTCACTTAGCTTCTCCAGGATTTGTATAAAATAAAACTTCATATCAGCAAGTGCACCCTCCATAGTACCAAATCTACCTCAGGCTTCCAGGGCACCCAATTCCATTCTGCCTGGAACCTAAATCAGCCACCTGGGAACAAAGAAAGACCATAAGTCTGGCAGCAATGGGGGAAGAGAGAGTTTTCCAAATATTTTCACATCATAGCACACATAACATGGAATGTATAAGGCTGTTCTTGATTAAAGAAGACTGGCCACTGCTAGTGTGCTCCTCCTAGGCCTCACACAACAACCCCAAAGTCTAAGAGGATTAATGTCTTTTCACATATGTAAAATTCAGAGAACACTGTTTAAGAGGCTTGACAGCTAAGAACTTACATACCATCATCAATACTCAATGTTGCCTTAATGTAAACATATTTTTCTGACATCCAGTAAACCTAATCTTTAAAAAACTAAAAACAAAGATTCTTCCTTTCAGGAAAACACTTCTGCCTTGCTTTCTTTAGATTATGAGAGTAGGCATTGGAGAATTGAATTCTCACTGTCATTCACTTATTAATCTGAATTGCAAGCATAAAAACTCATGAAAGGACCAGGCATGGTGGCTTATACCTCTAATCCCAGCACTTTGGGAAGCCAAGGCAGGAGAATTGCTTCAGCCCAGAAGTTCAAGACCAACTTGGGCTATGTAGTGAGACACCTATCCTACAGAAATTTAAAAATTAGCCAAGTGTGGTGGTGCATGCTCATAGTTCCATAGTTCCAGCTATTCAGGGGGCTGAGGCAGGATTCCCGGAGACCAGAAGGTCAAGTCTGCAGTGAGCCATGATCACACCACTGCACTCTAGTCTGGGTGACAGAGCAAGACCCTGCCAAAAAAAAAAAAAAAACACCTCAGGAAGAATTCTGGTACTTTGAGATTGGAAAAGAATTTGAAAAACATTCAACATTTCTTCATAAGAAATGTCTCAACAAATTGGTTATAAGGAATGTATGACAACACAATAAAGACCATGTATGACAACCCCACAGCTGAGACCATCAATTTGAAAGTTTTCCCTCTCAGATCAGAAACAAAGCAAAGATGCCCACTCTCACCACTTCTATTCAACCTAGTACTGGAAGTTATAGCCATGGCAATTAGGCAAGAGAAAGAAATTAAAAGCATACAAATCGGAATGAACAAAAGAGAGAGAGAAAGAAAGAGAGAGAGAAAGGGAGGGAGGGAGGAAGGAAAGAAATGGTCTTTGTATACTGATTACCTATTGTTATATATAGAAACCCCAAATATTACACCAAAAACTGTTAAAACTAATGAACTAGTTCAGGATATAAATCAACATAAAAAAATCAGTACTGTTTTTGCAGTATTGTAAAGACTATTGACATTATGAAGAAACTGCATCAACTAACAGGCAAAATAACCAGCTAGCATCATAATGACATGATCAAATTCACACATAACAATATTAACCTTAAATATAAATGGGCTAAATGCTCCAATTAAAAGACACATACTGATAAATTGGATAAAGAGTCAAGACCCATCAGTGTGCTGTATTCAGGAGACCCATCTCATGTGCAAAGACACACACAGGCTCAAAATAAAGGGATGGAGGAATATTTACCAAGCAAATGGAAAGCCAAAAAAAAAAAAAAGCAGCAGTAGCAATCCTAGTCTCTGATAAAACAGACTTTAAATCAAAAAAGACAAAGAAGGGAATTACATAACGGTAAAGGGATCAGTGCAACGAGAAGAGCTAACTATCCTAAATATATACGCACCCAATACAAGTGCACCCAGTTTCATAAAGCAAGTTCTTAGAGACCTACAAAGAGACTCAGACTCCTGCACAATAATAGTGGGAGACTTTAACACCCCACTGTCAATATTAGACAGATCAGTGAGACAGAAAATTAATAAGGATATTCAGAACTTGAACTCAGCTCTGGACCAAGCAGACCTAATAGACATCTACAGAACTCTTCACCCCTAATCAGCAGAATATGCATTCTTCTCAGAACCACATTACACTTAATCTAAAATTGGCCACATAATTGGGAGTAAGACACTCCTCAGCAAATGCAAAAGAGAAATCATACAAAACAGTCTCTCAGACCACAGTGCAATCAAATTAGAACTCAAGATTAAGAAACTCACTCAAAACTACACAACTACATGGAAACTGAACAACCTGCTCCTGAATGACTACTGGGTAAATAACAAAATTAAGGCAGAAATAAAGAAGTTCTTTGAAACCAATGAGAACAAAGACACAATGTACTAGAATCTCTGGGACACAGCTAGAGCAGTGTTTAGAGGAAAATTTATAGCACTGAATGCCAACATCAGAAAGAGGAAAAGATCTAAAACTGACACCTTAACATCACAATTAGAAGAACTAGAGAAGCAAGAGCAAACAAATTCAAAAGCTAGCAGAAGACAAGAAATAACTAAAATCAGAGCAAAATTGAAGGAGATACAGACACAAAAAACCCTTCAAAAAGTCAATGAATCCATGAAATGCTTTATGAAAAGGGAGAAAAGAGAGAAGAATCAGACACAACAAAAAACGATAAAGAGATATCACCACTGATCTCACAGAAATACAAACTACCATCAGAGAATATTATAAACACCACTACGCAAATAAACCAGAAAATCTAGAAGAAATTGATAAACTTCTGGACACATACACCCTCCCAAGACTAAACCAGGAAGAAGTTGAATCTCTGAATAGACCAATAACAGGCTCTGAAATTGAGGCAATAATTAGCAGCTTACCAACCAAAAAAATTCCAGGACCACACAGATTCACAGCCAAATTCTACCAGAGGTACTAAGATGACCTGGTATCATTCCTTCTGAAACTATTCCAAACTATAGAAAAAGAGGGACTCCTCCCTAACTCATTTTATGAAGTCAGCATCATCTTGATACCAAAACAGGGCAGAGACACAACAACAACAAAAAAGAAAATTTCAGGCCAATATCCCTGATGGACATTGATGTGAAAATCTTCAATAAAATACTAGCAAACAATTCAACAGCACATCAAAAAGCTTATTCACCATGAGCTAGTCAGCTTCATCCCTGGGATGTAAGGCTGGTTCAACATACACAAATCAATAAACGTAATCCATCAGATAAACAGAACCAACGACAAAAACCACATGATTATCTCAATAAATGCAGAAAAGGCCTTCAATAAAATTGAACACCCCTTCATGCTACAAACACTCAATAAACTAGGTATTGATGGAACATATTTCAAAATAATAAGAGCTGTTTATGACAAACCCACAGCCAGTATCATTCTGAATAGGCAAGAGCTGGAAGCATTTTCTTGGAAAACCAGCACAAGACAAAGATGCCCTTTCTCACCACGCCTACTCAACATAGTATTGGAAGTTCTGGCCAGGACAATCAAGCAAGAGAAAGAAATAAGGGGTATTCAGATAGGAAGAAAGGATGTCAAATTGTCTCTGTTTGCAGGTGACATGATTACATATTTAGAAAACCCCATCGTCTCAGCCCAAAATCTCCTTAAGCTGATAAGCAACTTCAGCAAACTCTCAGGATACAAAATCAACATGCAAAAATCACAAGCATTCTTATACACCAGTAATAGACAAACAAATAGCCAAATCATGAGTGAACTCTCATTCACAATTGCTACAAAGAGAATAAAATACCTAGGAGTACAATTTACAAGGGATGTGAAGGACCTCTTCAAGGAGAACTACAAACCACTGCTCAAGGAAATGAGAGAAGACACAAACAAATGGAAAAACATTCCATGTTCATGGATAGGAAGAATCAATATCGTGAAAATGGCCATACTGCCCAAAGGAATTTATAGATTCAATGCTATCCCAATCAAGCTACCATTAACTTTCTTCGCAGAATTAGAAAAACTACTTTAAATTTCACATGGCACCAAAAAAGAGCCTGTATAGCCAACACAATTCTAAGCAAAAAGAACAAAGCTGGAGGCATCACGCTATCTGACTTCAAACTATACTACAAGGCTACAGTAACCAAAACAGCATGGTACTGGTACCAAAACAAATATATAGAGCAATGGAACAGAAGAGAGGCCTCAGAAATAACACCACACATCTGCAACCATCTGATTTTGACAAACCTCACAAAAACAAGCAATGGGGAAAGGATTCCCTATTCAATAAATGGTGTTGGGAAAACTGGCTAGCCATATGCAGAAAACAGAAACTGGACCCTTCCTTACGCCTTATACAAAAATTATCTCAAGATGGATTAAAGACTTAAATGTAAGACCTAAAACCATAAAAATCCTACAAGAAAACTGGGAAATACCATTCAGGACATAGGCATGGGCAAAGACTTCATGTGTAAAACACCAAAAGCAAAGGCAACAAAAGCCAAAATCAACAAATGGGATCTAATTAAACTAAAGAACATCTGCATAGCAAAAGAAACTATCATCAGAATGAACAAGCAACCTAAAGAATGGGAGAAAATTTTTGCAATCTATCCATCTGACAAAGGGCTAATATCCAGAATCTACAAGTATCTTAAATTTACAAGAAAAAAATCAAACAACCCTATCAAAAAGTGGGCAAAGGATATAAACAGACACTTCTCAAAAGAAGACATTTATGTGCCCAACAAACATATGAAAAAAAGTTCATTATCACTGGTCATTAGAGAAATGCAAATCAAAACCATAATGAGATACCATCTCACACCAGTTAGAATGGTGATCATTAAAAAGTCAGGAAACAACAGATGCTGGAGAAGATGTGGAGAAATAGGAACACTTTTACGATGTTGGTGGGAGTGTAAATTAGTTCAACCATTGTAGAAGACAGTGTGGCGATTCCTCAAGGATCTAGAACCAGAAATACCATTTGACCCAGCAATCCCATTACTGGGTATATACCTAAAGGATTATAAATCATGCTATCCCATTACTGGGTATATACCCAAAGGATTATAAATCATGCTACTATAAAGACACATGCACACGTTTGTCTATTGCAGCACTGTTCACAATAGCAAAGACTTGGAACCAACCCAAATGCCCAACAATGATAAACTGGATAAAGAAAATGTGGTACATAAGCACCATGGAATACTATGCACCCATAAAAAATGATGAGTTCATGTCCTTTGCAGGGACATGGATGAAGCTGGAAACCATCATTCTCAGCAAACTAACGCAGGAACGGAAAATCAAACACCGCATGTTCTCACTTATAAGTTGGAGTTGAATAATGAGAACACATGGACACAGGGAGGAGAACATCACACACTGGGGCTTGTCAGTGGGTGGGAGGCTAGGAGAGGGCTAGCATTAGGAGAGACACCTAATGTAGATGATGGGTTGATCAGTGCAACAAACCACCAAGGCACATTTATACCTGTGTAACAAACCTGCATGTTCTGCACGTGTATCCTAGAACTTAATTTATATTTTTTTAAAAAAGTAGTGTTACACTAACAACAAACTATTTTTAAAAGAATCAATAAAACAATCCTATTTTCAAAACATGAAAATGCTCAGGCATAAATTAAACCAAAGAGGTGAAAGATATGTATAGTGAAATCTGTAAGGCATTGGTAAAAGAAATTGAAGACGATAAATGAAAAAATTCCTTGTTCATGGATTGGAAGAACTAAAACTGCTAAAATGTTCATACTACCCAAAATAATCAATAAATTCAATACAGTTCTTATCAAAATTCCAATGACATTTTTCGTAGAAATAGAGAAACAATCTTAAAATTTATGTGGAATCACAAAAGACTCTAAACAGACAAAGCAATCTTGAGCAAGAAGAACAAAGCTGAAGGCATTATAGTACTTAATTTGAAAATATACTACAAAGCTATGGTAATAAAAACAGTATGGTACTGGCATAAAAAGAGACACATAGACCAATACAATAGAATAAGGAACCTAGAAATAAATCCAAGTATTTACAGCCAACTGATTTTCAACAAAAGTGCCAAAAACACATAATGAGAAAAGAACAGTCTCTTTAATGAATGGTGTTTGGAAAACTGGATGTCCACCTGCAGAAGAATGAAATTAGACCCTCATCTCACACCACCTACGAAACTCAACTCAAAATTAACTAAAAGGTTAGACATAATGCCATAAACTTTAAAACTACAAGAAGAAAACATAGGGGAAAACCTCCATGACATTGGCCTGAGCAATGGTTTTTTTAGGTGATCCTCAAAGCACACGCAACAAAAATAAAGATAGACAAATAGAATTACATCAAACTAAAAAGCTTCTGCACAGAAAAGGAAACAATCAACAGAGTGAATAGACAACCCAAAGAAATATTAGTAGAAAATATTTGCAAACCATACATCTGATGTGTTTAATATGCAAAATAAATAAGGAACTCAAACAACTCAGTAGTAAGAAAACTAACAGCCCAATGAAAAATTGGACAAATGATTGAATAGACATTTCTCAAAGACATGGCCAGGTATATAAAAAATGCTCAACATCACCAATCATTAGAAAAATGCAAATTAAAACCACAGTGAGATCACCTCACACATGTTAGAATGGCTATTATCAAAAAAAATAAAAGATAATGTTGGAGAGGATGCAGAGAAAGAAAACCCTTGCACTCTATTGGTGGAAATATAAATTAGTATAGCCTTTATGGAAAATAGTAAGGGGGTTCCTCAAAAAATTAAAAATAGAAATATCATATGATCCAGGAATCCCAGTTCTGGATATATACCCAAAGAAAGCCTTATTTGAAAAGATATCTCACTCCCATGTTCATTGCAGCATTATACACAATAGCAAAAATATACACAATAGCAAAAATATACACAATAGCAAAAATCAACCTAAGTGTCCATCAACAAAAAATGGATAAAGAAGATGTGGTTTATATACACTATAGAATACTATTCAGTAATTTTAAAAAAGAAAGAAAGCTTGCCATTAATTATAACATGTATTTCCTGGAGGACATTAAGTGAAATAAGTGAGACACAGAGAAACAAATGGAATCTAAAACAGTTAAACTGACAGAAACGGAGTAAGATGGTGCTTACCAGAGGCTGGGGGGTGGGGAATACAGACAGATCTTAGTGAAAGGATACAAAATTTCAGTTAGGAGGAATAAATTCAAGTGATCTATTGTACATCATGATGGCCATACTTAATAACAATATATTGTATTCTTAAAAATTGCCAAAATATTATATTTTAAATATTCTCATCACAAAAAAGGAGGTAATAAATATGTTAAATAGCTTAACTTAGCCATTCCACAATGTATTCATATATCAAAACACCATGATTGTATACTGTAAAGAAATACAATTTTTATTTGTCAATGGAAAAAATAATTGTTTCTTTTTTTTTTATTATACTTTAAGTTTTAGGGTACATGTGCACATTGTGCAGGTTAGTTACATATGTATACATGTGCCATAAAATAATTGTGTTTCTGTACAGTAACACTGAATTATCTGGAAAAACAAATGCCATTTACAGTATCATCAAAATGAATAAAATATTTAGAAATAAATTTAACCCTGGAAGTGATTAATCTTTACACTTAAAACTATAAAATATTGATGAAATAAATTGAAGAAAATACAAATAAATGTTTAAAATATTTCATGCTCATGGAATAGAAGAATTAATACTACTAAAATGTCCATAATACCCAAAGTAATTGACAGATTCAATGCAATTCTTATCAAAACTCTAATGATATTTTTCACAGCATTGGAGGAAAAATTCTAAAATATGTATGGAACCACAAAAAAACATAAATAGCCAAAACAACTTGAACAACAACAACAGAAAAGCTGAGGCATCACATTTCCTGACTTGAAACCATATTACAGAACCATAAGAATCAAAACTGTATGATACTGGCATAAAAGCAGACACACAAACCAATGGAACAGAATCAAGTCCCCAAAAATAAATCCTCACATATATGGTCAACTAACTAATATTTGACAAATGTGTCAAGAATATACAGGAGAAAGGATACTTGATTCAATAAATGGTGCTGGGAAAACTTAGTATCTATATGCAAAATAATAAAATTGAACCATTATCTTACGTAACTCACAAATCTGATAAGGAGTTAATATCCAAAAAATACAAGGAATTCAAACAACTCCATAGCAAAAATAATACAATAAATTGATTTTTAAACGGCCAAAGGACCTGAGCTGACATTTCTCAATAGAAGACATACATATGGCCAACAGATACGTGAAATAATGATAATGCTCAACAGCACTATTCATGAGAGAAATGAAAATTAAAACCCCAATGAGATCAGCCAACATGTTAGGATGGCTATTATCGAGACGAGATAACAAGTATTGGCAAGGATTCAGAAAGAAAGGGAATCCTTATGCACTACTGGTGGGAATGTAAATTGGAACAGCCATTTTAGAAAACAGTATGGAGGTTCCTCAAAAATCAAAACTAGAGCTACCATCTTATCCAGCAATCCCACTGCTGGGTATATACCCAAAGGAAACGAAAATAGTATGTCAAAGAGATATATGCACTCTTGTGTTCAATGTAGCATCATTCACATTAGCCAACACTTGGAAACAAACCAAGCATCCATCAAAAAGAAGGAAATTCTGCCACTTGCAACAACATGGATCAACCTTGTTGGCATTATGCTTAGTAAAATACATGAATCAGAGAAAGACAAATACGATATGAACTCACTTATACATGAAATCTTAAAAAGCTGAATTCACAGAAACAGAGAATAGAATTAGAATGGTGGTTTCCAAAAGCTGGGGGAGGGGAAAATAGGGAGATGTTGGTCAGAAGGTACAAGCTTTCAGTTATAAGGCGAACAAGTTCTGGGGATTTAATATGCAGCATGGTGAATATAGTTAACAATACAGTATTTAATATTTGAAATTTGTTAAGAGAGTAGATCTTAAATATTCTCACCACAAAACAAGAAAAAATATGTCAGCTGATGGATAGGTTAATTAGCTGGTTTGTGGTAATCACTTCACAATATATACATATGTCAAAACATCATACACATAGTAAGTGTATGCAATTTTTACTTGTTAATTATACCTTCACAAAGCTGCAGTGAAAAGAACAGAGGTAAAACTATATTAT
The DNA here is from genome assembly GCF_000001405.40 of Homo sapiens. Lineage (NCBI taxonomy): Eukaryota > Metazoa > Chordata > Mammalia > Primates > Hominidae > Homo > Homo sapiens. The sequence goes on along the minus strand of NT_167246.2, from coordinate 320,468 downwards.
TTTCATAAATTGCATAAGTGTATATTTTATGATTACTATGAAAAAGGGGTTTTTTAAATTTCTATTTTTAGTTTAGATTCAGGGGGATACATGGGCAGGTTTATTACAAGGGTATATTGTGTGATGCTGAGGTTTGGGCTTATATTAATCCTGTCACCCAGACAGTGAATATAGTATACAATAGGAAATTTTTCAGTCCTTGCTCCTCTCCTCCTCTCCTTCCTTTTGGAATCCCTAGTGTCTACTGTTTCCATCTTTATGTCTGTATGTACCCAGGATTTATCTCCTTAAATTTTAAATCAAGTGAGAAGATGTGGTGTTCGGTTTTCTATTTCTGCATTAATTTGCTAAGGATAATGGCCTCCAGCTGCATCCATATTGCTTCAAAGGACATTATTTCGTTCTCTTTTATGGCTGTGTAGCATTCCATGTTGTATATGTACCACATTTTCTTTATCCAATCCACCATTAATGGGCACCTAGCTTGATTCCATGTCTTTGCAATTGTGAATAGTGCTGCAATGAACATGTGAATGCATGTGTCTTTTGGGTAGAACAATTTATTTGGGTGGGAGGCACATACCCAGTGATGGAATTGCTAGGTTGAATGGTAATTCTATTTTCAGTTCTTTGAGAAATTCCCAAACTACTTTCCATAGTGGCTGAACTAATCTACATTCCCACCAGCAGTATAAAAGTGTTCCATTTTCTCTGCAGCCTCATCAATATCTGTCATTATTTTACTTTTTAGTAATAGCCATTCAGACTAGTGCAAGATGGTATCTCATTGTGGTTTTGAGTGGCATTTCTCTAATGATTAGTGTTCGAGCATTTTTTATATGTTTGTTAGCTGCTTTTATGTCTTCTTTTGAGAATTGTCCATTCATGTTCTTTGCCCATTCTTTAATGGGGTTATTTGTTTTTCTCTTGTTGATTTGTTTAGGTTCCTTATAGATTCTGGATATTAGTCCTTTGTCAGATGCATAGTTTGCAAATATTTTCTCCCATTCTGTAAGATGTCTGTTTATTCTGTTGATAGGTACTTTTGCTGTGCAGAAGCTCTTTGGTTTAATTAAGTCCCATTTGTCAATTTTTTGTGTGTTGCAATTGCTTTTGAGGACTTGGTCATAAGTTCTTTGCCAAGGCCAATGTCCAAAAGGGTATTTCTGAGTTTTTTCCCCAGGATTTTTATAGTTTGGGGCTTTACATTTAAGTCTTTAATCTTTCTTGAATTAATTTTTGTATATGGTGCTTGGTAAGGGTTAAGTTTCATCCTTCTGAATATAGTTAGCCAGTTTTCCTAGGACCATTTATGGAATAGGGAGTCCTTTCTGCATTACTTATTTTTGTCGACTTTGTTCAAGATCAGTTGGTTGTAGGTATGCTGCTTTATTTCTGGGTTCTTTATTCTGTTCCATTGGTCTAGGTGCCTATTTTTGTGCCAGTACCTTGCTGTTTTGATTACTGTAGACTTGTAGCATAGTTTGAAGTCCAGTAATGTGATGCTTCCAGTTTTGCTCTTTTTGCTTAGGATTGTTATGGCTATTTGGGCTCTTTTTTGGTTCCGTGTAATTTTAGAATCATTTTTTCTAGTTCTGTGTAAAATGACGTTGGTAATTTAATAGGAATAGTGTTGAATCTGTAGATTGCTTTAGGCGGTAAAATTTAGACATTTTGTTTATGTTGTTGATTCTTCCAATCCATAAGCATGGAAGGTTTTTCCATTTGTTTGTGTCATCTATGATTTCTTTCAGCAGTGCTTTGTAGTTCTTTTTGTGGAAATCTTTCACTTCCTTGGTTAGAAGTATTCCTAGATTTTGTGTGTGTGTGTGTGTGTGTGTGTGTGTGTGTGTGTGTGTATTTTAAAGGGAATTACATTCTTGATTTGGCTCTCAGCTTGAACATTATTGGTGTATAGAAATGCTATTGATTTTTTACATTGATTTTGTATCTTCAAACTTGACTTAAGTTGTTTTATCAGGTCTAGAAGCCTTTTGGCAGAGTCTTTGGGGTTTTCTAGTCATAGAATCATAGCATAATTTGACTCCTCTTTTCCTATCTGGATGCTTTTTATTTCTCTCTCTTGCCTGATTTATTTGGCTAGGATTTTCAGTACTACGTTGAATAAGAGTAGTGTCAGAATTCTTGTCTTATTCCAGTTCTTAAAGGGAATGCTTCCAGCTTTTACCTATTTGGTATGATGTTGGCTGTGGGACTGAAATAAATGGCTTTTATTATTTTGAAGTATGTTCTTTGGATACCTAGTTTATTGAGGGTTTTAACATGAAGAGGTGTTGGATTTTATCAGAAGATTTTTCTGCAACTATTGAGAGAATCATATACGGTTTGGGGAAAATAAGGCTTAAAATATTTGATTTCATAAGTTCACGAGAAGGTAAATAGGTAGATTGTTTTGGTTTTGTATTTTTCCCCAAAATATACCAAAAATATTTTCCGATATTTCAAAAAATATCATTTACAATATTTCAGATATTTTGGTAAAATATATGGTCCACCAAAAAAAAAAAAATCAAACAGAGCCAAGTTTTGTGGCACACACCATTAATCCCAGTGACTGGAAAGACTGAAATGGGAGGATTGCTTGAGCCCAAGAGTTTGAGGCCAAAATGAGCCATGATCACACCACTATACTTCAGCCTGGGTGACAGAGTGAGACCCAAAAGCCAAAAGCCAAAAAAAAAAGAGTCAAAAAATAGAAATGTAAAGGATAACATAAAAGCAGTCTCAGAAATCTCTTTCTTCTGGGAACATACTCTTTATCCAGGCTATTTGATGATCAATATCATTAAACACGGATCTCCATCACCACATAAATGAGTTAGCATTATATTTCTTGAATATATCACCCTAGATAACCTTGACTGAATGGGATATTTAATATACACATCAGATATTGTTCTAACTGCTTTATAGTCAACAAACAATTATTGATCCCTGTTACATGCTAGACTCCCTTCCAGGCACCAAACAGCCACTGGAAGCTAATATAGCATCATCAAGGAATGCTGAGTGCAGCATTATCACAGGGCTATCAGGTCCTGACCAATTAGTCTACGGAAATATTGGAAGACAATGTCCGTAAAATTGCATAGTAAGAAATCAACATCTACACGGAACACTATTCCTAAAGAGAGAATGTTTCTATTTGGTGGGATGTTATATAAAAAAAGAAAGAAAAAAAAAGCAATGAACAAATAAAACACTATATATAATTTGGCTGATGAGCTTGTTTTCACAAATAAAAGTAAGCTCCATTAAGTCAGGGACTTTACTGTTTTGTCTATTTAGTTGTTTGCTATATTTCTATTGCTAATCAAATTTGTTGAATTGATTCATTCAGTTACGTGGCAAAAAAGGGGGATCAGATCCATATTCGTTTGGATCTTAGGTTTTAATTGTGGGGAGATACATTTAAAAAAAACAAAATTTAGAGTGATAAGTGCTACGAAAAACACATGGAAATGTGATAGAGATTAGCTGGGGAGGAGGGATTTTAATTTAGATTAAGTAGTCAAGGAAGATCTCGTTGAATAGATTATATCTGAAAAACGATTACAAACAAGGAGTTCAATTTGGGGACAGAATCTGCCAGGCCAATGAAATTCAATGCAAAGACACTTTAACACCTGCAACCCTGGAATGACAAAGGCATGAGACGAATGGGAGAAGGAGGGAGGGATGAAAAGGAGCCAGGCAAGGTGCATCTGGTAGTTCTTGGTAAGGAGTCTGAATTTTATAGTTAAGTGCATAGGAAGTCTAAAAAGATTTCAAATTGGCAAATGGAAATACTTGATTTGTGGTTTTGGTTTTCTTGGGTTTTGTTTTTTGTTTTTTCGAGACACAGTCTCGCTCTGTCGCCCAGGCTGGAGTGCAATGGTGCGATCTCGGCTCACAGCAACCTCTGTCTCCCGGGTTCAAGCGATTCTCCTGTCTCAGCCTCCAGAGTAGCTGGGATTCCAGGCATGCGCCACCATACCCGGCTAATTTTGTATTGTTGTATTGTTGATTTTGTATTGTTAGACGGGGTTTCTCCATGTTTATCAGGCTGGTCTCGAACTCCTGACCTCAGGTGATCTGCCCGCCTCGGCCTCCCAAAGTGCTGGGATTACAGGCGTGAGCCACCGCGCCCAGCCAACGTGTGGTTTTTTTAAAGAACGCTTTTGGCCGCCATATGGAGAATAGATTGAAAGGGGAATGAATTAAAGCAGAGAAACAAGATAGTAATCCATTGGGTAATCCAGGAAAAATAGGGTGGCCCAGTTTGTTAGTCATTCTGGAAATGGAGAGAAGTCGAGCTTGGAATCATTCAGATTTTCAAGATGAGGGCAGGCTAGTAATTAAGGATAACTCCTTAATTACTGGTTTCTGGCCAGAAATAGGTACATGTTTATATCATTTACTACAATGAGGAAGACTGGAATGAGAGCAGATTCAGTGCAATCAAGAGATCTATTTTAGCTATGTTTAGACTCATAATTTTGTGCATGAAATTAGGCAGTTGGAACTACCTATTCCATGCTCAATGTAGAAGACTGGAAATAGACACTTGAAAGCCATCAATATGTAGATGGGATTCAAATCCTTAAAACTCTAAGATTCTATCTAGGGACACAGTATAAACAGAAAAGAATTGAGCCTTTGGCAAGGGCATAGGAATCTCAGGACACTGTATTTCTAAAATTTCTACATATGCCAGCCAATACAGTTACTCTGATATGCGGCCAGTTGTGGAAGCACTGCTAATAACTTCACTTTAAATGGTTTCCATAAGTTAAGGGCTAAAGTAAGCAAGGGAAAAAATTGTTAAATAAAAAGGAAACAGGAAAACATGTCTTGATTTATTCAAAGGGGTATGGAAAGGTCTTATATTAAAGTTTAAGGCAAGGGCATCTGCTTTACAAGCTGGGTATATCCATTTTTTGATAACAAATGAAAACCTTTTTAAAAATTAATTCAAAAATCCAAAGGATTTCTCTATAATTTCTCCAGAGTAACAAACCCATGGATTTTAATCACAGAATAAGGAGCAAGGGACTAGAAAAGTCACTGTGTAGGAATGTATTTAAACCAGAAACATGGGTGGGCATGACAATTTATATACATTTTTGTTTTTCAAATGAAAATTGAATATTTGCTATGGTTGAATTGAAATTGTGAAATTCAATTATAACTTTAAAGTGGTTTTTAAAAGAAAAAGGAGAACTGTAGAAAATTTGACTAAAGGGGAAGAGAAAAATACATAAGTGAAACTGAGATCTCCAGTCAAAGTGAACAGTTTCAAGTATTCAGATGTTTAGAATCTTGATAGACAAAAATGTACCATTAGTAGATGTTATGTTTCTTTTTATCATCATTATTATAGCATTTATAAAGAATACATACACATACATATGTATATACTATGTATATAGTATATATATTTCATATATGTGTGTATTATATATAAAATCCTAAAGGAAGTGCTTATAAGGAGAGTATTTTCCAGATGTTTTATCAAATATCAGCATAAACTTTCCCCAAATATTTCTGCAGCACACAGACACCCTGAACTGATTGAAATTGTAACAGTTAATACTTATTTGGATGCTGTGTGCCAACCAGTACTGTAGTATTTACATATGTTAAACTTATTGAATCCTTACATTCGCCCTTTAAATTATGTATTATAATATCCCCTATTATAGATAAGAAATCGGAGGCAATGAAGGTTAAGTAATTTTCCCAAGTTCACACATCTGGTAACTGTAGCCACCAGGATTTCAGCCCAGAAAGTCTGGCTCCACAATCTATCCATCTAACCATTACACTATACTATATCTCAAGTGTAAAATATATTGATTATCGTACAGAAGCAGATAGTTAAAATTATTTTATTGATCAGTAATGTCATCCACATTTGAACATGTATCATGAGGCAGCCAATTCGTGCTTATGTATTTTATTAAAACCAATTATTACTGATATGTAATTTTAATTTAAGGAAGCTGTTAAAACCTATGATTATAAGCCAACTCACAAAAATTTTCATAGTATATACTTACTCTAGAATTTAATGTGTAAATAGTGACCTCTGAGACAATAACAAAACTAATTGTCGTAGACAATGAAGTATTTGAATCATCCCTCATGGTCACCAAAACAACTGAGAAAAAATGTAAATCTTATGATTCTGGTCTTACTGTTTAGAGCTTTGGGGATTAAACATCTCTTTCAAATACAACTGTTCTGACCATGGGTATCAGAGATAACCACTAGAGGTACCTCATTTAAATGATATCTGCTCAGAGCAAGTTTAGTTCCACAATCAATATTTGTGCTTTGAATGGTAAGATTTTTCTGTAGCTAAGTATAATTGTAGTGTTGGAAATCTACATTATTTAAGAGTAAATTTTATATTATAATACATTCACAACCAAAAAAATATGAAAATACATTTTCTTATTTCTTTGTCCTATAGTTTTCCTTCATATTAAATAACTTTTACATCTACTAAACCTGCCCTAGTGAAATATTAGGGTATGGTCTAATTCTAGGCTGGCATTTTCTATGACACTGTACTCTAGTAAAGTTAATTGGATGCAGTCCCAATGGTTTAGATAATCTTTTTGATTATCTGAGTCTTCAGGTAATACTGGGAAATTTTGTTCAATTCTGATTCTGAATTATCCGGTTGCTTTTCCTAATGTTTCTCTATGGTCAAGACCTACTTGCAGGTTGATTTAAACTCAGAACAAGAAGTAAGAATTTGTGACAGGTTTCATCCTCTTACTTGAAGTCATATATTCGAGAAGGAGGAGTCCTGTTGAGAATCTCTACCCTAACACACTTTGGGAAAAGCAGAATTCTCCGTGGCACTGCAGGGAAATCATGAGAAATTTACAGCCCTGGAGAAAAAAATGCTTAACCGGGATCTATTTTCCATAGTGTGGATTCTACAAAAGTCGAGAAGTAGAATGGCAAAGGAACTCCCTCTGGATCACAGTAATGTTCATCCTTAATCTCTTGGAGAAACAGTATGCCTGGATTGGTAAAACAATTTGTAGAAAGTAGAAGAAAAAGAACTTAGATCTGTATGGGCTGGTTTTATTTCAGAAGTCTGAGAATAAATATTGATCCAGCAGAAACAAAAGCGAGAAAGATAGATTAAATTGAAAATGAAGAATTCAGATACTTGTTTTTAATTTTGTTTTGTTTTGTTTTTTAATGCCATTTGTGAAACTTGTCAGCAAAATATTTTATTCTTGAAGGTTGTGGAGCCATAAAGGACTCAGATTTTATGTATCCATTTCTAAATCTCATACTGTGCATGAAAATTTATTTGAAGATTTTTCTATGTCACTTTTTAATAGGCAGAAGGAGGATTTTTATTCTTTCCTGAGTTAATCTTTATGGACTGTAGTAATAATGAAATAGTTAAGAAATTAACAGCATAATATTGATTTTAATTTTAAAAGAATTTTCAGGTTTTTATATAATTTTAACTGAAGCCCTATTTTATTCAGAAGTTAGGCACAATTATACACATCAACGAGTCTGTTAAAATAAATAAGCATTAATTATTGATGCCCCTGCTCAGACATTATGGAACTTTAATGGGGTGTGACAGCTTGAAATATCTTTCAGAGAATTATTTTTCTTTCTATCCAATTTGATTAATGGCAAAACTCAGAATCAAATCATAATTTTTGAAAAGCTAATGCTAAAGAAATCACAAAATGATTTTCTCAAAACGGCTATTTCAACCACCATCTCCGGTTAGTCTCACAAATGTATCCACTTTTGAATCATGGCCACAGTTGGAAGTAATTTCTTAATAACATTCAAAAAAACATATTTGAAATGGCATAACAAACAAAAAAAGCACAACTTTTTGTACTACATCTATATAAAGAGAGAGAAGAAGCACCAGTTTGATATTTATCTGGGTTTTGTTTGTTTTTGAGACAGGATCTTGCTCCAGCACCCAGGGTGGAGTGCAGTGGTGCAATCATAGCTCACCGCAACCTCAAACTCCTGGGCTCAAGTGATCCTCCCGCCTCAGCCTCCTGAGTAGCTGGGACTATAGGAGTACGCCACCACACCTGGCTAATGGCTGTTATTTTTTAACCAAATGTTTTATATTAGCTTTTTGACCACTTTATTGAAGTATGACTGACATACAAAAGCAGTACAGATTTAATGTATACAACTTGATGAGTTTGAAGGTGAGTATATACCTGTGAAACCATCAACACAATCTATCCCATATATACATCCATCACCTCCAACAGTTTCCTCCCACCTTCTTTATTGTGTTGTGTATGTGTGTGCGTGTGATGAGAACACTTAACATAAGATCTACCCTCCTAGCAAAATTTTAAGTATACAATATAGTATTTCTTAAATGTAGTGTAAAGTGGCTGACAAGTTTTAAGGAGATGGATGACATGATTTCATCAAATGTTGTAACAATGTAAAGGCATAAGACTGGATGCAAGGACTGGATGCAAGACTATTGCCAGAATCCAGAAAAGAAATCATAGTGATTTGAATTAGGGTTGTGGTGGTAGGGATTTTTTAAAGTGATAGGATAATTAGCATATATATTTGCATCCAAATTTACCAGTTTTGGTGATAAGGCGTTAAGAATGAGAGAGACAAGGCGTCCAAGGGTAAACACCAGATGTCCTACATAACAAACTAGGAGATCAAAGGTGCTTAGTCACTAAGATATGAAAAAAGAAGAACAATCTTTCCTCACTCTTTTTTAAGGTTTATTTTTAATTAAGCAACAATTGTATATGTTTATGGGGTGCAATATAATGTTTTAATATATGTTTATAATGTGTAATGATTAAATCAGGCTAATTAACAAACCCATCACCTAACATACTTATTTTTTGTGGTGAAAACACTTAAAATCTACTCTTAGTAATTTTGAAATAAACAATGCATTATTGTTTATTGTAGTCACCATTCTGTGAGATCACTAAAACTGGTTCCTTTTTTCTAACTGAAACTTAGTACCCTTGATCAACATCTCCCCTTTTCCCATCCATCTCCTGCCCCCACTCTCTACCTCTATGAGTTCAACTTTTTTGGATTCCATATATAAATGAAATCATGCAATATTTGTCTTTCAGCTTACTTCAGTTAGCATGATGTCCCCAGGTTCATCCTCCAGGTTATCACATCTTTTCCTCATCCTACCATTAGCCCAGTACTTAAATTTTATAGGTGAATTTACTGATCAAATAAAAGAATATGTTCATTTTATCAAGCTAACTAGCTTATAAAGAATCATAGGGTCATTTTAGAACCAGCATCTATTTCAAACTTTCAAATCTACACGTTAGATAATTCAGACCTCAAGTTTAAAAGTGAACTCCCCAAGGTCACCTGGATTTTTTTTAAAAAATCTAATATTAAACTCATTGCCATAAAAGAATCTATGACAAATAGCAGATTTCTTGGCTGTAATTTTTACTTTTATCCATTAAATTTTTTCAATTAGTAACATAAATTATCTCTCTTTGTTTAGTTCTAATTTTATCAAATTATTTAGATAGTTCATGTTGACAAATTGTTTCTTCCTCTTTTCCTTTTCTTCTTCCTCTCCCTCCTCCTTCTCCTCCTCTACCTCTTCTTCCTTCTTCTTCCTTCTCCTTATCCTTGTATCATCATCTACCTCCTCCTCCTCCTTTTCTCACTCTAGGATTTAGACATTGAAGGACTATGGACCAAAGCAATTATAGTTCTTTACATGGTTTTATTCTGCTTGGCTTCTCTAACCATCCAAAAATGGAGATGATCCTGTCAGGAGTTGTCGCCATCTTCTACTTAATTACATTGGTGGGTAACACAGCCATCATTCTTGCATCTCTCCTGGATTCCCAGCTTCATACACCAATGTACTTTTTCCTCAGAAATTTATCTTTCCTAGATCTATGTTTCACAACCAGCATCATCCCTCAGATGCTGGTCAACTTGTGGGGACCTGATAAGACCATCAGCTATGTGGGTTGTATCATCCAACTCTATGTTTACATGTGGTTGGGCTCAGTTGAGTGCCTTCTCCTGGCTGTTATGTCCTATGATCGTTTTACAGCTATATGTAAGCCCTTGCATTATTTTGTAGTCATGAACCCACATCTATGTCTAAAGATGATTATCATGATCTGGAGTATTAGTTTGGCCAATTCTGTAGTATTATGTACACTCACTCTGAATTTGCCCACATGTGGAAACAACATTCTGGATCATTTCTTGTGTGAGTTGCCAGCTCTGGTCAAGATAGCTTGTGTAGACACCACAACAGTTGAAATGTCTGTTTTCGCTTTAGGCATTATAATTGTCCTCACACCTCTCATCCTTATTCTTATATCCTATGGCTACATTGCCAAAGCTGTGCTGAGAACGAAGTCAAAAGCAAGCCAGCGAAAAGCAATGAATACCTGTGGATCTCATCTTACTGTAGTGTCTATGTTCTATGGAACTATTATCTACATGTACCTGCAACCAGGTAACAGGGCTTCCAAAGACCAGGGCAAGTTCCTCACCCTCTTTTACACCGTCATCACTCCAAGTCTCAACCCGCTCATTTACACCTTAAGAAATAAGGACATGAAGGATGCCCTGAAGAAACTGATGAGATTTCACCACAAATCTACAAAAATAAAGAGGAATTGCAAGTCATAGATAAAGACTAGAGTGAATAAGGCAATTAAATATGTTTTCTAATTTTCTTTAATTTTTACAAATGCAAGTAATTCCTAGGTCATGGAGATCCATAAATATAATTATTATATACAAACATTTTGTAGATGCAAACAAAATTACAACCATTCTACTTAGCTCCTTTATGTCCCTGATCATTGGTATATCATCAGAGAAAACAGATCATTAGAAATTTTATTTTTGCTTGAAATAAAACACAAATGGGATGTAAACATAAATTTGAATGCATTTAATTTATTCTAAAACCACATAGAAACTGTTTTGGTTATCTAGTTTTGTATTTTCAATGTTAATCCTTGCCTCTTCCAAAGTATAGACCTGAGCAAATGGTTTCATATACATTATGGTGTGTATATTAAATAATATACCCATAATGTTCATTCTATTGGAGCTTGAGAAAAAATATACATATACACAATAATGATTTTGTACACCCAATCTTTTGTAATGCCACCCAAATATTTATTTGTGTTTGATGCAAACAGTGCAGTTTATAAGACAGTAATTGTCATAAGCCCCATTTAAAACAATTCACTCTTTTTTCAATGAAATTTCAAATCGATATCTTGAGTAAAGGGTCTCTGCTATTTAAGTCTATTACTACTCTATCGTAATATAAAGCCACAAATTAAAGGGTTTTAAAGGTAATGACACAGTCTTATCAATTTCTCTTTCATTCGTTAAATGTTTATTCCATGATTGTCTCAACTTAATGGAAAGATAATATGACTAGTTTGAAACCAGTTAGGCTTTTGACATACATCTGTGGAACTGGCGGATTTACGTGAATTTTTAGAAATGTGGTAATGTTTATATGTAGTGGAATTGCATAACAGAATAAATCTTTTTATTTCTATTTATCATAATATAATATTTAGCTTTTATGGGACAATGTGATTACTTTTTAATTAAACTTTTATTTTTGCCATGATCTGATACCTTTCTCTAAAAGTGCCCATTATTTAATAATAGTAGCCAATCTAGATAGATCTAGAAAGACACACTGCTAGAATCTAAAAATATATATTTTCTCTTCCATCATGTCATCTTTAATGATGAGCAGCACACCACTAGCATTTTGAGTTGTCCCTTTCTTTGGTGTACCACTGGTTTTCACAATGTGGATAATATGTTACAGTAAGATCAGGAGAGATGGTAATTATGCCTTTCTTTTGTGAAGGAGGAGAAGGGATCTTTGAAAGTGAAGGCTGGAAAGAGAACCTGTCTAACTCCTCAACCTGGCATTTCCTCAAGAAAATGTTAGCGAAGAAAACAAAGGAACAAGGAGGATCTGGAAGTTATTTCCTTAAAACTAACTTTATAACCCTACAAAAGTCTCTGCATCCCAGAGTGTGCCCCCCCGTTGAAGCCCATTGTCTTAGACTATGGTTCTCTTAACAAGCCATACAAATCTCTATGAAGGTTAGAATTGCATTGTTTTGTAAATATTATTTATAGAACTGATAAGCCTCTAGCCAATGTAATTATAAGTTTCTTGAAAGCATAATTTTGTATAGTTCTTTCTCGATTCACCATCATATAATAGGGTTCCATGACTCTTAGTAGGCATTGAATATTTTTAACGATTTGGATGAATTTTTCAGTGTTCATGCAAATGTTTGTAAACAGAGCAAAAATCATCTTGTTATCATTTTTAACTAAAAAAAACATACACAAATATGAGCTAAGCAGAATATCCCAAGCCTTCAAAAACATGTCCTAGAAAATTTCGGAAATGTCTTACCTTGACCTGCATCATAATTATGCTTAATTACTGTTGTGGAGCACCAGTCTCAACGGGCTTAACAATATCCTGAAACTAAGTCAGCTCTCTTAGATTTTATACCCATCACATTTATCTTTTTCTAAGGTTAGCCCTTGGCCAGGGCAGGAAAATGTTTCTGCCACTCACAAAACACTCAGTAAATAGGTAATTTTCAAAACCACATATGCCTAGTGTTGGAAAAATGCAATATAATACAATCTAGTTTATTGCCTATTTTCCTTTCATATGGACATCTCCAGATTCTTCCACAAGAAGTTCAACTCTGATTGGTACCAATTAACCACAACATGGTAGATGTTGACTAGTTCAGACAAGGAAATTCATAATGATTTATGATTAAAGATAAAAGCAACCCTTCTGAGTCAACCATCATAACTTGAGGAGTGGTGGACTAAGAAAACCATAGTAGAAAATGCACATAATGACTCCCCTCAGTGCAAGTAAATAGCTAATTCTTTCAATATTTCTCTTCTTTAGAAGACTATAATCTAAAAAATACATTATTCAAATTCAGAGAATCACGAATATCTAGAGAAAATGAAATGCCATTTTTACTGTATCTGTTTATATTCATAACAATTATTAATTTTCTCTCATTTCTTAAACAAAAACTTATAAATGGATTCAAGCAGAAGATGCTATGATACTCAATTGTCATATAGTGATGAATTTTGAAGTACAGGAACCTCTAGAGGTCAAATACATATATATGCACTTATTATCCAATTCTAATCCCATTATTTTAATTGATGTGTTTGGGTATCTTTGCAAGTACATACATTTACCTACTTTACAATGAATATTTATATCTTAAATAAATTTACTGACATGTATTATTGAAGTATGTTGCATAAAAATGATATGGCATATCAAATTTTCAAACATGCTGTAAAAATTAAGCTAATTATTAATTGGTAACATTTTTCAAGCAATACCTGGGTATAGATGCTGATAATTTATAAGTCTAAATATGTACCCAACTTACTGAAGTACATTGATTCATTTTATCACTTTTATAGATATCAGTTCATCCAGGTCTCTGGCATTTCTGATATTGGTTTTTGTATTAATACATAAGTTAATTTTTTTTTTGAGATGGAGTCTGTCTCTGTCGCCCAGGCTGGAGTGCAGTGGCACAATCTCAGCTCACTGCAACCTCCACCTCCCGGGTTCATGCCATCCTCCTGCCTCAGCCTCCCGAGTAGCTGGGACTACAGGCGTGTGCCACCACATCCGGCTAACTTTTGTATTTTTAGTAGAGACAGGGTTTCACCATATTGGCCAGGCTGGTCTCGAACTCCTGACCTCAGGTAATCCACCCACCTCGGCCTCCCAAAGTGCTGGGATTACAGGCGTGAGCCACCGTGCCCAACCTGCATAAGTTAAATTTTAAAATTCTTTCTACTTTCTGAAGAAATTCTGACACTCTCCATTGTATTTCTGAAAATTATTTTCTATGGGAGAAGGATTCTATTATTTTTGAGGATTTTTGTTTAAAATACTGCTCCTGATAAATTTTTAACCTCCTCTCACAGTTGAGTCCCTGTGGCCACTGTCCTTACCAATTTCTACTGTACGAAACAGCTTCTTCTCCACTTAAAGACTATTTCTTGTCCTCTTGCCAGTGAACCAAGCCTATTTTCTTTTATTCTCTAAAGTACCACTAACAAGTGGGGAATGCAGTTAGTGGGATTTTCATAAAGAACTGGGAATAATAAAGGAGGATTATACTGCAGGATAAAAAGGAAAACATTGCCTAATGAATATTTGACTTCTTAAAATTCCTTAGCAATCCCTACCACAGAGCTTTGCTCTCTGGATGTCTGCTTTTTTAGGTCCCCCTTGCTCCATGTTTTGGAAGATCTTATTTACTTTCGGTCCCAACTTCTATTCCAATCTGTCTTTGTCTCTGACCTAGGACCTCCAATTCTTTCAACTGTAGTGTCTGTGAAGGAATAATGTCACTATCACTTAGAGAGAAATATTTGTCTGGCTCTATCTTCTATAAACACTAGAATAAGGGGTAAAGATACACTCACCTTGCATTAGAAAATAGAATTTGTTGTTTTAAGTAAAAGAACACCTTTTCTTCTGCTGCTGCTGCTCCATTCCTCAGAACACAGATGCAATTAAAACAATTCCAATCTTCTATTTTTCCCCATTACATCCCTTAACTAAAGAGTATACAATTTTGATCCATGTGATTATAAGGAGCACATATTTGGTATTATTACTAAGAAGCTTTCTGTATTAATAATGCATATTTTTAGCTCACACTTTTACAATTTAATTTATACAAACCTTTCTACAATTCAGTGATTTCTCTTTATATTGATGTCTTGAATAGAACTGACCAAGTTTATGTTTCAATGAATAAAATTTTGAAATTGAAAAATAATACACTTTTTGAAACTATCTAGGTGGAGAAGTAACATGAAAAGGATTTTTTAAAAAGAAGCTACTTCCATGTCCTGAAAACCTGGAGTAATATTTAATGTAGAGTAATTGTGTAGAAAATTTTCTAGTACCAATAAGTACCCATTTATGAATATGTGGGTCCATTCCCAACACTGGAGCAATTCCAGTACCTGTTTTCACTAATTGTACTCCCAAATTCCAAATCACTGTGTAGAAATTAATTCTACTAGGTAATTAACTCCAGGTCAATTTATTCTCTTTAAAATCAGTTGGATGGAAATGTTCCTTGGTAGTTCTTTTTATTTATGTTTTCTTACCAATCTCATTATTCTTCATAGACAAGTTTCTTCAGAGAAACACTTTGTCATGGTAACTGTAGTATACTTTAAAACACTTTGTCAGGCTATTGATATAAGTGCATTTATTCATTCAAATATTACATTCTATGGGCCGGGCACAGAGGCTCACGCCTGTAATCCCAGCTCTTTGGGAGGCCGAGGCGGTGGATCACGAGGTCAGGAGATCGAGACCATCACAGCTAACATGATGAAACCCCGTCTCTACCAAAAATACAAAAAATTAGCTGGGCGTGGTCGCGGGCACCTGTAGTCCCAGCTACTCGGGAGGCTGAGGCAGGAGAATGGCGTGAACCCGGGAGACAGAGCTTGCAGTGAGCCCAGTGAGCCAAGATCATGACACTGCACTCCAGCCTGGGAGACAGCAAGACTCCGTCTCAAAAAAAAAAAAAAAATATATATATATATAACATTTTATGGACATGAGTGGCTCTAATCAGTAAATGTACACTATTAGATGGGGAGGTCAACTAGCATTTAGCCAGAAAGGCTGCCCTCCAAGGCAGCTACCACAGGACCTTCAGTTATCTACCTCTTGGTCAACATTTGATGCCTAGCCAACTCACATAATAATTGAGGTTTAAATCAGTTATCATCCTGAAATTAGTGGTACCAAATATATGAGGGTCATCTAACATATTTTAGAAACATTCCCTATTCTTCTATGAAGGGCATAAGAACCTAGCAAGATGTGTAGCCTAAACTTTAGGGGTAGTGCCCAAGACTTGTTCCCTAAATGGGCCTGTGTCCTACTATGGATAAGTTCCACTTTCTCAATGCTGACATGAAAGTAAAACCCTACCTCTGTTGTCTTATCTTCTTCAAATACACCTTTCTACAAGGTACTTTGGAGTATTTTAAAGGGCAGAGAGCTGAGGATTTATTAAATTTACAGAGAAGATGACATAAACTGTCTTATGCTAATGTCTGGTTAACTAATCTCTATATTCATGGCAGAATTTGATCAGAGTCATTTTCATCATAACTGGGACATAGGATTGTGGTGGTAAATGCTAACCATACGCCCACTTCACCTTTTTCAGCCACTATGATTAACTACCAAAAATGACCCTGTTGCTGAGCATGACCAAATTGGGTTAGGCTAGTTCAAAACACACTCTATTTTTCTCATTAGACACTGTTCATTACTTCTTAATTTGTTGCACCTTGCTTTTAGTCCCTCTGAACTAAAATGCTTAAGAGCAAATATCAACTAGAGTTTCTACTCTGTTGTTTTACATTAGCTGAAAAATACAGGTATATCCCCCAAAAAATAAGAAGAAAGAAAACTATCATTATTTTAAGATAACAGAATCCACTCCATTTTTAACACAAAAAAATTATGTTATTAGAAATCCCTATAGACTCCGTGAAAAAGAAATATACAGAATAAATATTTAAAATCTTCTGCACAGCAAAAGAAACTACCAACAGATTAAACAGACAACCTACAAAATAGGAGAAAATATTTGCAAATTAAGCATCCAACAAAGGTCTAATATCCAGAATCTATAAGAAATTTAAACAAATCAACAAGCAAAAACAACCCCATTTAAAAATGAGCAAAGACATGAACCAACACTTCACAAAAGAAGACATACACATGTCCAACAAGCATATGAAAACATGCTCAGTATCACTAATCGTTAGGGAAAGGCAAATCAAAACCACAATGAAATACCATCTCACACCAGTCAGAATGGACATTATTAAAAAGTCAAAAAATAACAGATGTTAGTGAGGTTGCAGAGAAAATGGAATACTTACACACGGCTGGTGGGAATTTCAATTAGTTTAGCCACAGTGGAAAACAGTTTAGAGATTTCTCAAAGAACTCAGAACTACCATTTGACCTAACAATCCCATTACTGGGTATATACCCAAAGAAATAAAAATTGTTCTACCAAAAAGACACATTCACTCGCATGTTCATCACAGCACTATTCACAGTAGCAAAGACATAGAATCAATCTAGATGCCCATCAGTGGTGGACTGGATAAAGAAAATGTGACATATATACACCACAGAATACTATGCAACCATAAAAAGAATGAAATCATGTCCCTTGCAACAGCATGGATGGCAGCTGGAGGCCATTATCCTAAGTGAATTAATGCAAAAACAGAAAACCAAATACCACATGTTCTCACTTATAAGTATGAGCTAAACATTGAGTACACACAGACACAAAGAGGGGAACAACAGACACCTGGGCCTACCTGAGGGTGGCAGGAGGAAGGAGGGTGAGGATTGAAAAACTACTTATTGGGTACTATGCTCACTATCTGGGTGACAAAATGATTTGAACACCAAACCTCAGCAACACACAATTTACTCAAGTAACAAACCTGCATATGTACCCCTAAACCTAAAATAAAAGTTAAAAAAAAAAATTTAATTTAAAAAATACATATGTAGCTCTCCTAACAACAATAAGCAATGAGCAATTAAATAAAATGATATCAATAAAGATGAACTTAACATATGTTGAACATTTTTAAGGTATTATTAATCTTTACCAAGAAAAAGGGAAAAACAAATAAAATGAGACATGCCACATTCTTCAAAAAATAACTTTTAAATATAAATTTAAATGCAGACATTTCAAATAATTGTCTGCATTGTGTTTGGATTGTAACAAATTTATTTCAAGATTTATTTGGTCAAATTACAGCTTAGAAGAGTCAAGCCATTTTCATAAACGAATAATAAGCAAGGATTTGCTCTGGCCAGCACTGAAATACTATCAAATATTACTAAGGGTTTGATTTGGGGTCAAGAGCAGTGGCTCCTGCCTGTAATCCCAACATTTTGGGAGGCCTAGGCAGGAGGATAGCTTGAACTCAGGAGTTGGAGACCAGCCTGGGCAACAGAGTGAGACACCCCTGTCTCCACAAAAAACAAACAAATAGCCGGGCGTGGTGGCCTGTGCCT
The DNA here is from genome assembly GCF_000001405.40 of Homo sapiens. Classification (NCBI taxonomy): domain Eukaryota; kingdom Metazoa; phylum Chordata; class Mammalia; order Primates; family Hominidae; genus Homo; species Homo sapiens. Next base: position 302,236 of record NT_167246.2, on the reverse strand, counting down.
GTAGTCCCCGCTACTCGGGAGGCTGTAGTGGGAGGATTACGTGAGCCTGGGAGGCCGAGGCTGCAGTGAACAGAGATTGTGCCACTGCATTCCAGTCCGGGTGACAGAGTGAGGCTCTGTCTCAAAAAAGAAAAAGAGTTTGATTTGCATATGATTGAAACAACATTGCCTCAAAACAGACCCTAGTGTGTTTTACATTACAACAGTAAATATGAAAAGAATGACATTACAAATTAGTGTGTGATGAAGGCCTATTTGTTGACCAGCGTGAGAAAACTGATGAAAGATCTAGAAATAAAATTTGTCAGTAAAAACAATACCTAAAAAACATACATTATTATAAATTTTAAATTGATTAAAAAATGTAGAGAGTTCCAGCAGAGATCCCAGGCCTGAAGCAGCGGCGAACCTGTCTTCCCCACCCCACCTCGGTGACCTGGTGGCCGCCGGCACACAGCACCTTTGGATGGCCGCGGGTGTGCCGGGCGGGAAGAAACACGCAGAGGCTGCTGGGGTGCAGGGCCCGCGAAGGCGGAGTTAGGGAGAGGCCTGGCCTCCTCTTTAGGCCACGGCGCCGCGCAGATGCTGTCCTCGGGGGACCTCTCTGTCCCAATTGGGTGAGACCTACCTGGTCCTGATGACAACAGACAACAGCCTTAACGGCCGGAAGGTCAGCGAAGTCCCGGATGAGGACGGGTGGAATGGTAGCGACCATGGGGCAGTTGGCCTTCCTTCTACCAGACGTTGATGTGGGAAAAGAGAAACGGAGTAACAGGACACATTTAGCGATTTGGAGATTCCCATCACGCTTTGGGAGGATGTACCGGCGTTTATAGGAGACCTGCGTGTATAATGTGAGAAAGCTGCTCTCAGCTTCCCCCAAAACTTTTACAAGGAAACATTTGCCACATCTAGCCTTTCCAGATGTATAGAGGTTACCGACCTATGATAGAGTTAGAAAATCACACATGGAATTTTTTAAATTCCATATTACAGAGTAGGTAATCAGTATGTAATTGTATCAGTGGATTACAAAATCTGGAGATTATATTCTGAGAATCTATTTTTGCCAACACAATAAGAGCCATATATTACAAGCCCACAGCTAATATCATAATGATAAAAAGTTGAAAGCTTTCCCTCTAAGATCCAGAACAAGATAAAGATGCCCACGCTCACCACTTCTGTTCAACATAGTACTGAATGTCCTAGCCAGAGCAGTTAGGCAAGAAAAAGAAAAAAAGGCATACAAATTGGAAATGAAGAAGTGAAACTGTCTCTTCTGATGACATGATCCTTTATTTGGAAAACCCTAAGAACTCCAACAACAAAAAAAGCTATTCAAATAAACAAATTCAGTAAAGTTACAGGTTACAAAATCAATATACAAAAATCAGTAGTGTTTCTATGCACTAACAATCATCTGAGAAGAAATTAAGTAAACAATCATAATTAAAAAATAAATTAATTAAAATAACTAGGTGCAAATTTAACCGAGGAGGTGAAAGATTTGTACACTTGAAAACTATAAAACACTGATATTTAAAATTACAAAAGACACAAAAATTGAAAAATACCTCATGTTCATGGATTGGGAAAATTAGTATTTTTAAAATACCTATACTACCCCAAATAAAGATTCAATGCAATCTCTATCCAAGTACCAATGTCATTTTGTAGAGAAATAGAAAAAACGATTCTAAAATTTGTCTGGATCCACAAAAATCCATAGCCAAAGTAACCTTGAATCAAAAAACAAACAAACAAAAAAAAACGGGAGGCATCATAATACCTGGCTTCAAAATCTACTGTGAACCTATAGTCATCAAAACAACAGGATACTGGCATAAAAACAGACACAAAAACCAATGGAACAAAATAGCGTAAAAATCAATCCATACATTTACAATCAATTGATTTTCAACAAAGGTGCCAAGAACACACAATGGGGACAGGGCAGTCTCTTCAATAAACGGTGTTGAAAAACTGAATATCCACATGTTGAAGAACGAAATTACATGCATACCTCAAACCATATACAAAAATCAACTCAAAATGCATTAAAGACTTAAACATAAGACTATTAAACTACTAAAAGAAATCATAGAAATGCTCCATGACATTGATCTGGTCAATGATTTTTTGGATATGACCTCAAAAGCACAGTCAACAAAAGCAAATATAAATAAATGAGATTATATCAAATTAAAGAGCTCCTGTACAGTCAGGGAAACAAATAAAATAATGAAAAGACAACCTATGGAGTGGGAGAAAATATTTGCAAATGATGTATCTAATAAGGGGCTAATATCTAAAATATATAAGAAGCTCAAACAAGAAAACATAATTCTATTTTAAAATGGAGCTGGCTGTGTTGGTTCACATCTCTAATCTCAGAATTTTGGGAGGCCAAGATGGGTGGATCACTTGAGGTCAAGAGTTCGAGACCAGCCTGGCCAACATGGTGAAACCCCGTCTCTACTAAAAATAGAAAAATTAGCTAGGCATGGTGGTACGTGCCTCTAGTCTCAGCTACTCAGGAGGCTGAGGCACAAGAATCACTTGAACCTGGGAGGTGGAAGCTGCAGTGAGCCGAGATTGTGTCACTGCACTCCAGCCTGGGAGACAGAGAGAGACTCCATCTCAAAAATAAAAATAAAAAATAAAATAAAATAATTTAAAAATTTTAAAAATGAAAATAAAAATGGGCAAAAGACCCAAATACACATTTCTCAAAAGAAGACCTACAAATGGCCAACATGTATATGAAAAATGCTCAACATCACTAATCAATGGGGAGATGTAAATTAAATGCACAGTGAGATATCACTTCATACTCTTAGAATGGCTATTGTCATAAAAAGCAAAGATAACAGCTTGGTGAGAATGTAGGGAAAAAAAGGAACCCTTGCACACCGTTAGTGGGAATGTACATTAATACAGCCACTATATAAAACAGTGTGGAGGTTACTCCAAAAATTAAAAATAGAACTACCATATGATCCAGCCATCCCACCACTGGGTATATATCCAAGGAATTGAAATCAGTATGTTAAAGAGATGTCTGCACTCCCATGTTTATGGCAGCATTATTCACAATAGCAAAGATATGGAATCAAACTTTGTGTTCATCAATGAATGAATAAATCAAGAAAATGTGGTGTACTATTCACTCGTAACAAAAAAAGGAAACCCTGTCATTTCCAACAACACGGATGAACCTAGAAGCTATGATGTTAAGTTAAATGAGCCAGTTACAGAAAGGCAAATACTACATGATCTCATTTAAATGAGGATCTGAAAAACTTAAACTCATAGAAGCAGAGAGTGGAATGGTAATTACCAGAAGCTGGGGATGGTGGTAAGTTTCCAGACCATAAATTGAGGGATAAGCTCCAGAGTGTTCATACTATTTTTAATTTGCTGAAAATAGAACGATGATAATAATTCATAAACCTAGAATTATGATTATCCCATAAATTTTTTAAAACTAAATATTTTGTCCTATAGACACAACACCTACATAACTTAATTTATCCAATTTTGATCTTACCAATTGAATAAACCAAATTTCAAGTAAATGTGTTCATTTTTATATAGTTTACATCATATATTCATTTTTCAATGTAAATTTAATATAATATATAATTAATCTCCAAATTTTTAAATTTAAAAACTTAAAAAGAAAAAGAAAAGATGAAACCCAACGTCTTTTTTTTTTTTTTTTTTTTTTTTTTTGAGACAAGAGTTTCGCTCGTTTCACAGGCCGGAGTGCAATGGCGCAATCTCGGCTGACCGCAACCTTCGTCTCCCAGGTTCAAGTGATTCTCCTGCCTCAGCCTCCTGAGTAGCTGGGATTACAGGCATGCACCACCATGCCCGGCTAATTTTTTGTTTTTAGTAGAGACGGGGTTTCTCCACATTGGTCAGGCTGGTCTTGAACTCCTGACCTCAGGTGATCCACCCGCTTTGGCCTCCCAAAGTGCTGGGATTACAGGCATGAACCACTGTGCCTGGCCGAAACCTAATGTGTTAAGAGAACTTTTCATGAAATTATTATTTGGATATGCCTCTGACCACAGTCATAGCTTTACTTAATCACCTCTGTGGGGCATCAGTCCTCAAGGTCTAAACCATATCAACATAGGTAGCCTTTAGAGCTGTAAATAAATACTTCCCTGCTACATGTTAATGATTCTTGGAATATACATTGACCAACACAGTGTTCTCCTTGTTTAATTAGGCAAAAATCTAGCTGTAAATATGAATAACAAGAGTATACATTAAAAAGACATCAAATAGCCAACCGAAAATATATTTAACCAAACCTAATTAAGGATTTTCACCAGTCCCACATTTAGTTTACTTCCAATATCCACATTAAATAGAGACTTCTATTAAATCTTATTTCAGCTGTTGCATTTAAGTGTGAATGGCACTGTAGTGTCAGTATGACCAGTGGTTAATCCAATTCTTCAGGGCATTAGTAACTCATCCAACAAGAATTTTTTTCTAATTTATTAATTAAATGAAGAAACGTCATAATGGGAACATGGGTATGTTTGGACTACATGAGAACATGACAGCTCTGAATTCTTCCTTCATGAAAATATATTCTAATCTTTTCAGCTTCTGGTAAGTATTCTCTGCTATCTCTAACAGAGGATGACTCCAGGTAGAAAACAGATCCTAGATAGCGTAAGACTCAGTCTAACATGAAAGCAAAAATGTGAAAGGTATGTGAGATATAAATAATACTAACATTTTGAGGATTAAATATAAATTTAATCCTCAGGAGTGAGGATTAAACTTCAACAAGAGCAGTTAGTGGATTTTGAAGTTACTGAATGCTCTCTATGCACCAAGCATCATGCTAAATATTTAGCATAGCATGTAATCCTCCTCATAGCCATCCTACAAAGCAGGTGCTATTAGAATAGCTATTTTACAGATGAGGAATCAGAGGCTAAAGAAGTTAATTAGCCTGCTCAAGTCCACAGAGTAAGGAAATGGCTGAGATCAATTGTAACAAAAATCACAGGCGGTCTGAACCAGTCTAGGGTCTTACCTATTTTTATTTCGTCCTTTCATCTTGAATTTTGTATGACTACAGCAATATACCTCATGCTTTATAATAAAAGATCCATATATTTTTACTTTTTATAAAATTTTAGACAGTTTTGAAATTTTGTGCTTCTAATTTTCTCTCAATATCATAAATTATGTTGAAATATGTTTGGTTCATTTGTCTCAGATTTCACTGGAGAAAGCAAAATGTTAAGTTATGCGCGATTATTGGGCTCTGAAGTCCATACTATGAAAAATGAAAAACTGAGTTTCGATTAAAATGTAGCATGCCTCTTTTTTGCCATCTATTTCTTCAGCTGGAGTGTTGTAAGTCTCATTTCAAATAACACATTCACTTTTAAATTGAAATTAAAATATCTGGTTTGAGATCCAAAGCTTAAATCAATATGAAAATGTTAAAAAGTATTAAATGAAAAGTCCTGTATTTGAGTTCACAACATTAAACTACATAAATTGTCATGCCTGACTTGGCAGCATTTCTAATAAGAATGCCTAGGGCTTTACGTGATCCAAAGTTTAAAGAGAGCCAGTAATGTCTTATACCTGCTAAAAATAACCAACGTATATTTTAGAAAATTATGCAGATCATAGACATTCACTATTCTCTTCAGTAGTGTTGCATAAGTGGAGTATCGTGCTTACTTTTATACTCACTAATTTGCAGCACTTGACAAATCATGGTGTGTCCAGGGAGAGCAACAAGAAAAAGCATGGTAATAAAAGAGCATGTAGTGGTAGGAACAGCTAACAATGTGCTTTGTCTGGGAAGAGAAATCTAAGCATATATTTGGTAACAGTTTCTAATATTAAAAGAGAGTTAAAAGGTATATAAAAAATTTTTAGTAAGCCAAACTATACAATATTGTCTAGAGGTGCACATTTGGGTAATTAACCTACTAACATGCAAAGAGGGGATTACTATAAATAGCAGCATAGTGGATACTTCAGGGGATAGGGAAGAGTTATCATTGGTAAAAGGCACAAAGAAAAGCTCCTAGGGTAATCATCAATGTTTTATTTATTGATTTAGGTGATAGTTACAAGAATATACACTGAAACTCACCAAGCTTTACTTTTTATTTGTTGTATCCATGCACTGTTCATATAATAATACTGGGGTTTTTATGAGGCCATGTTAAATTGACTTACTCTGTGTTATTTTCAGAATAAAGAAAATCAGCCAGGGCTGGGCAAGGAATCATCTTTGAGTTCAATATAAGCAGCATTGACTAAAGGAGAGAGGCTGCTTCAAGTGTAATTGACTTCCCTGTCACTGAAGTTATGCCAGTAGCAGCTGTGTAGCGATTCTGTTGAAGGATCTCCTATGCAGAGCAGAAGGCTAGATTCATGACTTCTGAGGTTTTTTTCCACTTTGAAATTCATGACCTTTTAATTCCCAACACAAACCCAACAGCAGTCAAAAGAATTTGAGTGAATTTTTTAATCAAAGCATTTGGAGACCTCAAGTCATCTCCTGCTCCTGAAGCTTTTCAGTTCAATGTGCATATTGTGATTCTGCATATTTTTGTGTATATAAAAATGTTTCTAAATTTTAAAGTTACACAAATTTTTTAAAAAACATTCCAGTTTAGTTCTAGGTCATTGCGGTAAAATCACTAGTGTGAAAAATTAATGGACTAAGGGGTAGACAGAATAACAATGACAGGTGAATATAGGTTATCATTTTTAGAATTAAAGATGAACCAAGCTCAGTTCCAAGTGCTTTTATAAATATTAACCCTCACAACATCCCTTTGAGGAAGGAAATTTTATTATATTTTCTTCATGTATAAAGAACCTCCTACACAAACAAGTTAAATAATTGCCCAAGGATACAGCTTCCAAGTGGTGAAGCTGGAATTTGATGCCAGGGACTTTGAGTTCAGAATCTGTGCAATGAAGCACTATCATTCCTTAGTTGACAACCTATTGCGAAAAATAAAAAAACTGGACACTTATTAATTAGATTTCCATTTTTGTGCTGTGAAAAACTACACCTCTATCTCATACTACTTGATAACATTTCCTTCTTTATGATTATAACATTATTCTGTTCTAACTGAAACACTTATAACAATGACATATATAAATGATCTATCTTCCCCTTGTTTTACTATATACCAGAAACAAATGAGGTTTCTATTCCATGGCCTCAAGGACACTATAAATGTAAAGTATGGTAGGTCTGAATTTCGTGGTCAGAAATTATCAGCAGAAAAAATGTTTAAACTAATTCAGCCATTAGCTCGACACCAGGGCTCAGGCCGAAGCAGGAGGATTGCTTGAGCCAAGGAGTTCCAAACCAGCCTGAACAACATGGTGAGACCTCATCACTACAAAAACATTTAAAAATTACCTGGACACAGTGGCATGCATCTGTGGTCCCAGCTACTTAGGAGGCTCAGTTGAGAGGATCACTTGAGCACCGGAGGTCCAGGCTGCAATGAGCTGTCACTGTGTCACCGCACTCCAGCCTAGGCAACAGAGCAAGATTTTTGTTTTGTTTGGTTTGGTTTTTTTGAGACAAGAGTCTCGTTCTGTCGCCCCGGCTGGAGTGCAGCGGTGCGATCTCGGCTCACTGTGGCCTCCGCCCCCAGGTTCAAGCAATTGTCCTGCCTTAGCCTCCCAAGTAGTTGGGACTACAGGCACGCACCACACCGCCCAGCTAATTTTTGTATTTTTAGTAGAAAATACAAAATTTTTCCCCACGTAGGCCATGCTGGTCTGGACTCCTGACATCAAGTGATCCGCCCACCTCAACCTCCCATAGTGCTGGGATTACAGGCATGAGCCACTGCATCCGGCCAACAGAGCAAGAATCTATCTTTAAAAAAAACAAACAACAACAACAAAAAAAAACTAACTCAGTCAGTCATTAAATATTTTGTCTACTTAGTGATATGATACAATAATCAGAAATGGTGAGATTGATGACATTTTTATCTGTATCTGTATTCTTTTAGAGCCCAATGGGGTGATGGTTTTACCTAAAGGATTTCAAAGCAATCAGAACATCCACTCATGTTGGATTGGTAAATTCCATAGATTAAAACAACTCTGGCTATTTAATGAACTGCTTTTTGTTTGAATTACCTGCCCAGCGCCCAGCTAATTCTGCTGAATGGCTGGTAAGTAGGATTGGACACAGATCGTTGTACGTGGTGGCCAAATAGTTCTGGAATTACCTCAATATTTAACTGCAACAAATCAGTAAGGCTGTTTAGATGGTGTAATATTAGTCATTAAAGCTGTTTAAAAAACATATAGGCCTTTATACATGTAAGTAAATATTAATAAGAAAGATAATTATTTCCTGGCAACAAAAAACACACTCACAAAAAAAGGCAGTGTAGTAGGGAACACCAAAATTGATAGAATAACAACAGTGCCTGCAATGTTGAGGGGTAAAAAAAATATAAGGAGGAGGAGTAAGTTGGTGGTGAGGATAATTATAATTATAATGGCTGAAATGTAGATATTTGCAAGTAAATATTGAAAGTGATTCTGCTATCAAATGGTGGAGTTTATTCCAAAAAAAGATGTCATTTAACTTTTTACCTCAAGCTTAACTCCTTCAATAATGCAAGGATTTATCATGATCAAGTGATGCTTATGTCATAGCTTCAAAGAGGAACAACTCCTCAATACATATGCCTCTCTTAAAATCACATAATTGACTTCATGATTTTATTACTTAATTGAAATACATAGAACAATGAATGACATAGCAAATTAAGTTTTTTCAATGATTTACAATTCAGCCTGATTGGATTTAGCATATTATTAATTTTGGATTAAATATGAACAAGTTGTGAGCACTGGGCCATAGGGAAATGTTAAAAGAGATGTTCCAAATGAGAGAGAGCATGCAAATAAGAGAGTTTTGGATACCCTTGAGAAACTTCAGAGATTTTCAGTTCTACCTAAACCTGACACTATTTTTGGTTACCATGATATTGCCTGCTAGCTTTTCTTAAGGAACAATGGAAACAAGCAGTGTAAGTTCTGGAACAGATTTCATCCTTCTGGGGTTTTCTGATCGACCCCAATTAGAGCACATCATCTCAGTGGTTGTCTTCATCATCTATATTGTGACTCTGGTAGGAAATACAACCATCATTCTTGTATCTTATCTAGACACCCAGCTCCATACCTTCATGTATTTTTTCTTATCCAATTTGTCTTTCTTGGACCTCTGTTATACAACTAGCATTATCCCCCAGATGCTGGCAAATCAATGGGGCCCAAAAAAATCTATTACTTATGGAGGGTGTGTACTCCAATTCTTTTTTGTCCTTGACTTGGGAGCCACAGAATGTCTTCTGTTGGCTGTGATGGCCTATGATCGTTATGCTGCTGTCTGTCAACCTCTTCACTACACCTTAAAATGCACCCTCAGCTTTGCCACTGCCTGGTTGAGTGGTCTTGCCAGTGCCTTAATTGTTTGCTCCTTGACTTTGAAGTTGCCAAGATGTGGGCACCGGGAAGTGGATAATTTTTTCTGTGAGATGCCAGCATTGATCAAGATGGCTTGTGTCTATTCAAAAGTAATTGAGATTGTTGTCTTTGCTTTCGGAGTGGTATTTCTTTTCGTACCTCTATCACTAATTCTTATCTCATATGGAGTTATCACTCAAGCTGTAATGAGGATCAAGTCAGCAACAAGGTTGCAAAAGATCCTTAATACATGTGGCTCCCACCTCACAGTAGTAATTCTGTTTTATGGAACAATCATTTATATATACATGAAGCCACAGAATACCATATCCCAAGATGAAGGGAAGTTCTTCACTCTTTTACACAATCATCACACCCAGCCTTAACCTTCCCATCTACACTTTAAGAAACAAAGATGTAAAGAGTGCACTGAAGAGAATACTGTGGATGAAAAAATCTTCAGCAGAATCATGAATTAGATGGAAAAAAGTAGAATGTAGAGCACTAAAGAAATATTGGCATTTATCAAGAGAAGTGAAATCAATTCATTTATCCAAAGCACATTCACGCTCAAAGCTTGGTGCTCTTAAATGACAAAAGAAAATTTAGCAAGCTTATGTTTTTACTTTGCTTTACTTTGTTTTACTGGTAAATACATTCAAAATCTGGAAATCCCTGTGCTAGAGAATAAACGACTCCACTTCTCTGCAAATCAGCCATTTCAGAGATTGAAAATCCTCTCTGCAAGTGAAAGATTCCCCATATCTATAGTGCCCTTGCTATGTCATTTCAAAGACAGAGTAAGCCACAGCTTACATGAAGTAATTGAGTAGGAAGATGGGAGTAATAGGGCTTATGATGTCTCTACAATCCTTAAACCCTGTGGCTTCTAAATTTCCACAGCAAGAACATCATACCTTTATTTCAAGGTTTTGATTCCTCTTTTACTTTTATTTTAGGTTTGGGGGTACATGTGAAGGTTACATAAACACGTGTCATGGGGGGTTATTATACATCTTATTGCATCACCCAGGTGTTAAGCCCAGTACCTAATAGTTATCTTTTCTTTGCAGATGACTCTAAAATTGTCAGTTGTACATACCTTGGTAAACATAAAAAAATATGAGAGAGGACAGTGAAATCAGGATAAGGAAAGCATGAAGACACTGTAAACTTCATGGTGTCATAAGGACTATGGAAGAAAGACAAAAGTATAGAATGATAAAATTGTGGCCACTAAAAAAGAGTATCAATTTTCCTTTGTTAAAAATGAGTGATCCTAAATCTTGCTAGGCATTTATCACTTAAAAACCTTCTATTCAACCTTCATACCCTGCTGAAATCTTGTCTCAACTGAAAAGTATTTATGAATCTCATCAGTCTATGGTCTATAGTCCTTGAAAACCCTGACCATATAAGTATAGGGCATTATCCCATTTTTATTTAGTTGTTTGTATGTGTGTTTGAAGAAGATGCATTGGTAAGCTTTTCAACAATATAGACCTTCTTATTCACGTGATTTTGCTGTGTCGAATCAGTTTCTGACATGAATTACATAGCCAATAAATGTCTGTAGAATGAATATGTCAATGTTTTTTATTAAATCTCCATGAAAATGTTACCAAATCTGCAGAATATCACAAATTCTCATTGGGTGATGAATATTAGAGCAATATCTTCAGTTTGTGTTAACACTGAAGATATATAAATCATCTAACACCTAAAATGTAATATATTTAAACATCTATGAGTTAGCAAAGGAAAAGATACAGTTTTTCTTTCACATACATATTATAGAATACATACATAATATTATAGAATCTTTACAACATCCCCTAGAGGTATATATAAGTACATAATGGAAACTAGAAAATAAGAGAAATAAAAGAAATTGCTCATTATCTTATCCCAGAAATGACTAAATTTTTAAATTAATTTTCTTTTAAAGTACTGTCATCTATTAAAATTTGGTTTAATAGTTTGTCTTATTTCTCTCAATATATGCCTTCATATCAGGGATGATATCATCCCCACAGGGGCAAAATTGATTCAAGGGGAGGTAGCAAAAATCTTTGGTATTACAATGGTTGGTGGTCCTCCAAAGAGCCTCTGTACATAAGCAGTTACACAATATAACTGTGGCACTAAAATTTTGTTAGAAATGAAATAACTATAATGAAAAAGTTTGAGAAAACACTTAATTTGGTGCTTTTTCCTATTTGAAAAGATGATTAAAAGAAAGACTCCCTTAGGCCAAAATGATTGACAAGGATATGCACATCCAATACACAGAATTAGTAAACTTCTAGATTGGCAATTGAAAACTGCATTCAGTAATGGTCTTCAGTTTCAGGTTAAAATGCTGGAAATTCTCTGTTATATTGGGGATTTTTTTTTTAAGTTTGATGAAAAAATCATGCCCCAAAGAGTTTTTTTAATGATAAAATTCTTGAGTTTATAGGATAGTATATAAAAAAAGAAACAACTTGCTGAAAAGTTGAAACTGAAATTGTGCCCCAAAGAATAGGAAACCAATAACTAACAGAAATCTTGAGTTTGCCAGATAGCAGATAAGAAAATAAATAACTTGCTGAAACGCTGAAATTCCCTCCATTTGTGAGATAACAAGAGTGTCCAAAATTAGTTGGAACCAACATGACCAAATGGAGTTTGCACAGAACAAGCTTGTTAATGTCACAGCCCGATTTCCACTGCATGTTTCATACTAACTCCCTTTGAATTTGCATGTGGGACCCATGAAGAGGAATGGAGATAACTGTGCATTTGAGGACTTTCTAGACCTCCCTTTTCCTTCCACCAACCACCTGCTAATCCCAGAATCCACCCGCAAACCTTTTCTAATAAAATTACTATCTTAAAGCCAGCACAGGGAGATACAGTTGAGCTAGATTCCTGTCTCCTTATTGGTCAACCTATAATAAAGAGCTTTTCTTTTCTTAGAAATCCAGTGTCATAGTATTAGCTTCTAGCACATCCAGCAGTGAGCCCCTTTTGCCTGGTAACAATAACATAATATAGTATCAAGAATTTGTGACTGGGCATGGTGGCTCACGCCTGTAATCCCAACACTTTGGGAGCCTGAGGTGGGCAGATCACAAGGTCAGGAGTTCAAGACCAGCCTGGCCAATATGGTGAAACCCCATCTCTACTAAAAATAGAAAAAGTAAGCTGGGCGTGGTGGTGGGCACCTGTAGTCCCAGCTACTCCGGAGGCTGAGGCAGGAGAATGGCTTGAACCCAGGAGGTAGAGGTTGCAGTGAGCCGAGATTGCACCACTACACTCCAGCCTGGGCAACAGAGCAAGACTCCATCTCAAAAAAAAAAAAAAAGAATTTGAGGAAACAATATCTCATTTATTTCTGGTTGTATTAGTTATCTGCTGCTACATGAACTTTTTTTTAAAGAAACAAACAGAACTTCTAGACATGATCAGTATAGGCTGAAAATCCCTTATCCATAATTCTGAATCTAAAATGGTCAGAAATGCAAAGGCATAAGAACGATACATTGGACTTTGGGGACTCGGGGAAAAGGGTGGGGGCTGGTGAGGGATAAAACACTACACACTGTGTACAGTGTACACTGCTCAAATGATGGGTGCACCAAAATCTCAGAAATCGCCACTAAAGAACTTATTCATGTAAGGAAACACCACCTGTCCCTCCAAAACCCTATTGAAATAAAAAAATTAAAATAAACAAAAATAAAATGGTCAGAAAACTAAAAGCTTTCCTTTTTTTCTTTGAGACAGGGTCTCACTATGTTACCCAAGCTGGTCTCAAACTCCTGGCCTCAAGCAGTTCTCTCAAGTAGCTGGTATTACTGGTGAGAGCTACCACACCCAGGTAGAAAACTAAAAGTTTTCATAACTCTGTTGGCAACAAAACCTGACCTGAACTGAGGTAGGACTATTTCTATCTATTCTTTACTTTCAGTTTTATTAAACAAGAGAGACTGTATGTTAAAAGAATAGAGTTCCTTTTAAGAAAAAATAATATCAGCTATTTGTCATTTGTCAGAAATGGCAGATATTTTTTAAAGAGGACACTCACTGTTATCACTAATTTATAAAACCATAGTTTCTTTCGAGTTGAAGATTCAAGAGCAATTAGAACATGTCTGTTTTAAAATATGGTAGTCACTAGGTGTAGCATCAAAAGAAAAACTATCAAAGAATAATAAAACTTTAAATTATTCTTTTTAACTTAAATGGATGTGTATTTTAAACTATTTTTATCTAAGATATTAAGTTAACATTTAAAGTTGGCCACATGAAAAGATAGGTCACATTTCATGTTCTTGTGAGTCAACTGAAATACTGAAGGAAAAAAAAAGTTTGTTTCCTTGCTAGTCATTGTACCTTGCTGGCTAGAAATGTTCCATGGAATGTGTGAGAGTTTGGTTCCAAAATGGCTGCATATAAGGAAGCTGGCTTTATTTTTCCTCCACAGAAAACCTACAACAAATACACGGTGCTGAGATTATCACCAGCAATATCCCAGAACTCAAATATGAAGATGGAACAGTGCCCGTGGCAACAAAGAAGTAAAAAACTTCAAGCAGACGCTGTAAGAATCAGACTTCCAAATCCGTGACATCCCTCTCCCAAATCTGCCTAGCACCAAGCATGTGGAAAACTTCCCCCACCTCACCGCCAGTTTCTACACTGGAAAAAGTGAGATTGAAGTGGATAACCAGTTTCCCCACCATCTTGGATTCCCTGGCAAGAGATCTGTCCCTAAGTACTTAAAGGGAGAAATATTCCCAAAGACAACCAGAGAAAAAGTGGGGAGGTGGGACTTCCTTCCCCAACCCTAGAAACACTCTTCTTTAACTCAGCCAAAGGAGACGCCAAATCAGCGAAGCTGGTCAGCAGCGACACACCATAGGAGGTATGTTCCACAGGTTCCCTGAGCACGAAATTCTAGCCAGACTTCCCACCCTATTGGGATATCCCCCGTAAGACCTTCTACATTTGGGTCCGGCAGTGCTCCAGTCATTTACTAGGGCCAAGGAAAACCTGGACTGCAGACTCCATGTGATGTCAGAAAGAAGGCAAGACCAAGAGGGCGAAAAAAAAGTAGATGCTGTCATGCTTTCTGTACAGCCTGCAGAACCATGAGCTAAGTAAACCTCTTTTCTTTATAAATTACTCAGTCTCATGTGTTTCTGTATAGCAGTGTGAGAACAGACTAATATACATGACTTCCCCAAACAGACAAAGCAAGGAACCAATGACTTACCCTAGGCAAGACAGTGGTATGTGAGCTCTCTCACCAAGAATTCAAAATAGCAGTTTTAAAGAAACTCAGTGAACTCAAGGATAACACACAAAAGCAATTCAAAAATTTATCAGAGAAATTTAACAAAGAGATTAAAATAATTTTTTAAAATCAAACAAAAATCTTGGAACTGAGAAATATACTTGTCAAACTGAAAAATTTATTAGAGACTCTCGACAGCAGAATGGATCAGACAGTGGAAGGAATTAGTAAACTCAGACAGGCTATTTGAAAATACAGTTAGAGGAGAAAAAAGGGAAACGAATACAAAGGAATGAAGATCACCTAAATAATATAGAAAAGTACCTCAAAAGGACAAATCTAAGAATGATTGGTGCTCAAGAGGGAATTCAGAAAGAGCAAAAATTAGAAAGCTTATCCAAAGAAATAACTCAAAACTTTCCAAACTTAAGAAATATATAAGTATCTAGGTACAAGATTAGAGAACATGAAACAGATTCAACCCAAATAAGACCACCCCAAGACATACAATAATCAAATTCTCAAAGGTCAAGGACAAAGAGGATTACAAAAGTTGGCTGGGCACCATGGCTCATGCCTATAATCCCAGCACTTTGGGAGGCCAAGGCAGGTGGATCACCTGAGGTCAGGAGTTCGAGATCAGCCTGGCCAACATGGTGAAACCCTGTCTCCACTAAAAATACAGTAATTAGTGGGGCATGGTAGTGGGTGCCTGTAATCCTAGCTACTCAGGAGGCTGAGGCAGGAGAATCGCTTGAACCCGGGAGGCAGAGGTTGCAGTGAGCCGAGATAGCACCATTGCACTCCAGCCTGGGTGACAAGAGTAAAACTCAGTCTCAAAAAAAATAAAATAAAATAAAAAATAAAAGCAGCAAGAGAAAAGAAGTAAATAACATACAAAGAGCTCCAATTATTCTGGCAACAGACTCCTCAATGGAAACTATACAGGCCAGGTAGATGTGGGATGGCATTTTCAAAGTGCTAAAAGAAATAAAACCGCCATCCAAGATTAATGTACCAGAAAAGCTATTCTTCAAACATGAAGAAGACATAAAATCTTTCCTTGACAAACAAAAGCTGAGAATTCACTACCACCAGGCCTATCTTAAAATAAATGGCAAATGAAGTCCTTCAATCTAAGAGAAAAAGATGCTAACATGCATAAAGAAAATATTTGAGGAAAAAAACCACTGGTAACATTAAGTACAAGACATACCCAGGATACTCTAATACTCTAATTGTGGTGTGCAATCCATTTATAACTGTAGTATGAAATCTAAAAGACAAACCTATCAAAAACAATAATTGCTACAGTGACCTGCTAAGAGATAGACAATATAAAAATATGTAAACCGAGACAACAAAAAGTCAAGATGTAGGGGTATAGAGTTAAAGGGCAGGGTTTTGTGGGGGTTATTTAAGTTTTTTTGTTTGTTTCTAGTCTTTTCTTTGTGATCAAAGTTAAGTTGTCATCTTTGTAAAATATCAGCTGCGCGCCATGGCTCATGCCTGTAATCCCAGCACTTTGGGAGGCCAAGGCTAGCTAATCACTTGAGCTCAGGAGTTCAAAACCACTCTGGGCAACATGGCAAAACCTCATCTCTACAAAAAATACAAAACTTAGCTGGCTATGGTGGCATGTGTCTATGGTATCAGCTACTCAGGAGACTGAGGTAGGAGGATTGCCTGAGTTCAATAAGGTAGAGGCTGCAGTAAGCCAAGATCTCACCACTGCACTCCAGCCTGGGTGACAGAGACCCTGTATCAGAATAATAAGTAATAATAAAACAAAGTAGCTATAAGATATGTTTTGTAAGCCTCATGGTAACCCCAATGCAAAAATCTGTAATTAATACACTAAAAATAGAAGGCAGTGAATTAAAGCATTCTACCAGAGAAAATAACTTAACCACAAAGAAATACAGTAGCAAAAGAATAAAGGAAGAAAGACGTTACAAAACAACCAGAAAACAAGCAACAAAATGGCAGTCATAAGTCCTTACTTATCAATAATAACACTGAATATAAATGGACCAAATTCTCCAATTAAAAGATGTATAGAAGTTAAATGGGTAAAGAGACGAGACCCAACTATGTGGTGCTACAAGAACCCACCTTGCCTATAGGGACATACATAAGTTGAAAGTGAATTTATGGAAAAAGATATTCCATGCAAGTGGAAATCAAAGAGAACAGGATTAGGTATACTTATATCAGATAAAACAGACTACAAGTCAAGGAATGTAAAAAGTGACAAAAGGTCACTATATAATGATGAAGGGGTCAATTCATCAAGAGGATATTAAAAATTATAAATATCTGTGCACCCAACACCAGAGCATCCAAATATGTAAAACAAACATTAATAAATCTCAAGGGAGAGATAGGCTCCAATATAATAATAGTAGGGACTTCAACACCTCACTTTCAGTAACAGATTATCCAGGGAGAAAATCAATAAAGAAACATTGGAATTAAGCTACACACTAGACCAAGTAGGCCTGACATTTATAGAACATTTCACCCAGCTGCTACAGAGTACACATTCTTTTCACTTGCACATGGCACATTCTCCAGAACAGACCATATCTTAAGTCACAAAAGAAGTCTCAGCAAATTCAAAAAAGTAAAAATTATATCAAGTATCTTTTCTGATCACAATGGAATAAAACCAGAAATCAACAAGAGGAACCTTGGAAACTATACAAACACATGGAAATCAACATGCTCCTACAACCAATGGGTCAATGAATAAGCTAAGAAAATTTTAAAAATTTCATGAAACTAGTGAAAATAGATATACAACATACCGAAGCCTACAGAATACAGCATAACAATAACTTTATAGCAATAAACACCTACATCAAAAAAGGGAAAAGACTTCAAATAATCAACCTAAAAATGGATCTCAAGGAACTCAAAAAAGCAAGGATGAACCAAATCCAAAATTAGTAGAAAGAAATAAATATCAGAACAGACATAAATGAAATTGAAACTAAAACATAAATACATTTGATCAATGAAATGAAAAGTTGATTTTTTGAAGATAGACAAAATTAACAAACCTTTCCCTAGACTAAAAAAGAGAAACCCAAATAAATCAATCAGAAAGAAAAAAAAAGAGATATAACAGACCACAAAAATACAAAGAATCAGAGAATATGAACAACTATACACCAACAAATTGGAAAACATAGAAAAAATGGATAAATTATTAAACATATACAACGTACTAAGATTGAACCATGAATAGAAACCCTAACAAACCAATAATGAGTAATGAAATTGAAGCCTTAATAAAGTCTCTCATCAAAGAAAAGCCCAGGACATTATGGCCTCACTGCTGAATTCTAGCAAATATTTAGAGAACTGATACCAATTCTACTCAAACTCTTTTAAAAAAAATTGAAGAGGAGGGTATTCCTCTAAACTCATTCTACAAGGCCAGCATTGCCCTGATGTGAAAACCAGACAAGGATACAGCAAAATCTGTGTCAGAAATCAAATCAAAAACAAAACTACAGGCCAAAATCCCTGATGAACATAGATACAAAAATTCTCAAAATAACTAGCAACCCCAATTCAACAACCAAGAAGATCGCTCATGATGAGTGTGATTCATGAATACTGCATGTTCTCACTCCTATGTGGGAGCTAAAACAGAAGATCTCATGAAGCTAGGGAGTACAATGGTGGTTATCAGGGCCTGGAAAGAGGAGGGAAGACGTGGGATAAAGAGAGGTTGGTTAAACGGTATAAGTATACAATTAGGTAGAAGAAAGACAACCAGAGTTCAATAGATCAGTAGGGTGACTATAATCTATTAGACACTTCTGGCTGGGCGCGGTGGCTCACGCCTGTAATCCCAGCACTTTGGGAGGCAGAGGTGGCCGATCACGAGGTCAGGAGTTCAAGACCAGCCTGACCAACATGGTGAAACCCCGCCTCTACTAAAAATATAAAAATTGGCCCGGTGTGATGGCGTATGCCTGTAATCCCAGCTACTTGGGAGGCTGAGGCAGGAGAATCGCTTGAACCCAGGAGGCAGCGGTTGCAGTGAGTCGAGATCACGCCATTGCACTCCAGCCTGGGTGACAGTGCTAGACTCTGTCTCAAAATAATGTTAGACATTTCAAAATATCTAAAAGATTGCTTGATATATATTTAGATATAACTAGAAAAAAATTTGAACGTTCCAAGCAAAAAGGACATTTAAGTTTATACATATATATACACACACACACAAATTATCCTTATCTTTGACCTTTATACGTTATGTATCAAAATATTACATGTACCCTCAAAATACATACATTAAAAAAATGAGAAATAGAAAAATCAAAAAAAAAAGTTCCATGAATTCTGAACACAAATGTGGCCCCCCATTGCTTGTTATTTGTCTGTTCATCATCCCCCACTTGCAGTATTAAAATGTCAGTGTTTCCATTTAGGGATCCCCTTCTGCCTGAATAATCCCCAAATCTGATTCAAAAAATTAGTTCTTACCAGTTTGCACACTCAAGAAAGCACCTGAGCCCAAGTCCACTACGGCCATTTTGTCACTGCCACAAGGTGGCGCTATTGAAAAATGGTCCACATTACTAGCACTCACCGTCCCCATTGTAATGAGAACAAACTTCGGATCTCTGCACAAGCCACAGTGGTCCTTCTAAGGAGGTAGACAGACCTCTCACCCTGCACCCACTTCTTCATGGCAGTTGCATCTCAGTGAGCCTTGAGTTCGTTCATGAGTGGCTGATCTTTGTTTTCACGTCTTAAGTCTGAAAGCACCCATCTCCATCAGAGAGCCTGCCGCTCAGTAACTCCGGCCGAATTTGTTCGGGTGTGAGGTTTAAGGCCCTAATCGCTGTTCTCTCTTCCTCTTTGGGCACCCCCATCTCCGAAGCGTCAGTTTTTCTTTCACCTATCCGCAACATAAAGTGTTACTAATGACACTCCTCGCCCAGAAGACGGCGCTCCGGGCCTGCACACGCTGGTGCCTCCGGCGAGCCTGGACCCCAGGGCCACTTAGAGCCTTGGCGTTCGTTTTAGCTCTTAACGGCGACCAAGACGTCTTCCTCCTCTGCGACAGTGTGGGGAAGGGAGAACGAGAATAACCCACGTTTGGCCAGGAAAAGCTCCCCCTCTATGTAACTTGTAAGGAACCTCCCAGCAAGCAAGTGGCGTGTGCCCGGGTCTCCGTTCCCCGAGACGCGGGATCCCGGGCGGGAGGGCTAGTCTATCCCATTTGCCTCCACTCCTCTCGGAATACGTTGGAGTCTTCCTTTCTGGTGTCTCCGACTTCGCAGTAACTTAGAGGTGTCTCTGATGAGAATGCAGCCCTGGGTGTGGCTCTGACCACCTCAAGCACCATCCCGACCCTTCCTTGTACGTCTTCCCGCAACCTCCTGCGGAAAAGCAATGTGTCAGAAATTTGTGAGTTCTTGGCATGATTCTAGAATGAAGCTGCAGACCCTCAGGGTGTTAGTTCTAAAAAACGTGTCTGGAGTTTGTTCCTTCTGATAGTCAGACGTGTTTGGAGTTTGTTCCTTTTGGTGGGTTCGTCGACTAGCTAGCTTCAGAAGTGAAACCGCAGACCTCTACAATGAGTGTTACAGCTCTTAAGGCGGCATATCTGGAACTGTTTGTTTTTCCAGGTGGGTTCGTGGCCTCGCTGACCTCAAGAGTGAAACTACAGGCCCTCACAGTGTTACACCTCACAAAACAAAATGCAGATCCAAGCAGCTAATAGTAAAAAATAAAACCACCACAATGTGAAACAGGACAAAACAAATTACAATGGCCAACTCCGGTAACCTGCTTTTATTCCCTTATCTGGCCCCACCCACATCCTGCTGATTGGTCCATTTTACAGAGAGCCGATTGGTCCGTTTTGACAGGGTGCTGATTGGTGTGTTTACAATCCCTGAGCTAGACACAAAAGTTCTCGAAGTCCCCACTAGATTAGCTAGACACAGAGCACTGATTGGTGCATTTACAAACCTTGAGCTAGGCACAGAGTGCTGATTGGTGTATTTACAAACCTTGAGCTAGACACAGAGTGCTGACTGGTGTATTTACAATCCCTTAGATAGACATAAAGGTTCTCCAAGTCCCCACCAGATTAGCTAGACACAGAGTGCTGATTGGTTTGTTTACAAACCTTGAGCTAGACACAGAGTGCTGATTGCTGTATTTACAATCCCTTAGCTAGACATAAAGGTTCTCCAAGTCCCCACCAGTTTAGCTAGATACAGAGTGCTAATTGGTATATTTACAATCCCTTAGCTAGACATAAAGGTTCTCCAAGTCGCCACTAGACTCAGGAGTCCAGCTGGCTTCACCTGGTGGATCCTGCACCCGGGCCGCAGGCGGAGCTGCCCGCCAGTCCCGCGCGCCGTGCGCCCGCACTTCTCAGCCCTTGGGCGGTGGATGGGACGGGAAGCCGTGAAGCAGGGGGCGGCAATCGTCGGGGAGGCTCCGGCGGCGCAGGAGCCCACCGCGAATTCTCGGGCATGGCAGGTTGCAGGTCCCAAGCCCTGCCCCGCGAGGAGGCGGCTGAAGCACGCGAGCGCGGCGCGGGTGGGCCGGCAGCGGTAGGGGACCCAGCGCCCCCTCCGTAGCTGCTGGCCCGGGTGCTAAACCCCTCACTGCCCGGAGCGGTGGCGCCGGCCGGCCGCTCCGAGTGTGGGGCCCCCGGAACCCGCGCCCACCCGGAACTCGCACTGGCCCGCAAGAGAGTTCCCGCCTCTTCCTCCACACCTCCCCGCAAACAGGGAGCCGGCCTCGCCAGCCCAGAGAGGGGTTCCCACAGTGCAGCGGCAAGCTGAAGGGCTCCTCGAGCGCGGCCAGAGTGGGCGCCGAGGCCGAGGAGGCGCGGAGAGCGAGCGAGGCCTGGCACCACGCTGTCACCTCTCGGCAAGGCGAGATTCCGCGCGGAGGAAAGAGGCGCGCTGTCCGGGGACGGGAGGCTGGCGGCAACCGCTACAGGGTCGTAACAAAACAAGTCCCTAGGGGAACTGAGTGGAATTGCGTCCTTTAGCTCTCCAGAGCTCTCTAAGCTCCTTGAAGGGCCAGAGGCTGAGCCCACCTTGGGACATAATTAGTAAGCCTGACTCAGTGACATGGCCCTGCCAAAAGAAAATATTCCCTGAAGGAACAACCTTCTCTCGCATTCTGGTGCCTAAGGAGGTGCAGCTTGAATGTGAGACTGAATTAGGACAGAACTGAAGGCCCCTTGAGCCACACTGGTATTGAGAGGGTATAAGGGACTGCAGGAAAAAGGGATGTCAGAGAGAAAGAATCCCATTTACAAAAGCGTTACCATGTAGGCAGGGTTTAGCTTTGGGTAATGAATGACTCAGTTCTGTGGCTGGAAAAATACACAAAGAGGATTATTAGAAAAGTTTCTGATTATTTGGTTCATCAAAAGGACATTTCTGCCTACTTCCTAGTTATAGTATGAGTTTATGAAATTTGGGATCATAGAAGAAAGTAAAAATTCTATTAGAGAACAGACACAAGGGCTGACAGTTCTTTGTGACACCTCAGAAACTGTTATTCCAAAATCCTATTTGCAATCAGTTGGGTTACAGCCTCCTGAGATTCACCCTCCTGATTCTGGCCCTGAGCTAGGTTTGTCCAGAGATTAATAAGTTTGTGATCTTTCTGTCCTTCAGCCTTGGTTTAACTGGAATAATAAGTGAGATGAGGAAATGACTAATAGAGCTCATCTTGAGTGTATGTTTTTTTAAAAAACCCATTCTTCCAGTGGGCTGGAAGGGGTAGTGGGAAACATTCAACAACATCTGCCCACACCAGGCCTGCCTCAACTTAATCCTTTCTCAGCTACTCTTCCCAGGTAGAGCCATCATTAATCTGATTGGTCATGTTCTAGGACATCAACAAGGTCTTGATATCTGGTGGAAAGTTTAAGACTTTGTCTTGCTTTTCCTCTCCTCTGGGCCCAAAGAGCATGAGACAGCTAAACTTGGATCTTCTCTGTAGACCCAGCCATGTTGCTTCCTGCTTTTTCTCAACTTATTTCCTCCATGTAGCTGGCCAGCAGTTGACACAAGCCTAAGACTTAGGACAAAGTTAAAGGCACCACTGGAGGTTAAATCTAGGCTACATGCTCCAACAGAGATCTGAACTTCTGCAAGAGATTTGAACTTCTCCATGGGTGATTATTTGATTATCTGAGCACTCACTTAGCTCTTTATAAATTAGTAGTTCCATTTAGTTTAACAAAGTTTTTGAGATCATGGGCTCAGGAACTAGATGACTTGGTTTCAAATCCTACCACCTACCTGCTATGTGACTTTTTCTGTCTCATATTCCTCATCTCTAAGATAGAAATAGTAATTTCTGAGTCATAAATTTGCTGCAAGGATGTGGTACAATGGGCCTTGCAATAAATTCTACAACATCACATAGTATGAACGAAGGAATGGGAATAAGATTTACTGGGGAAACTTAGAAAGCAAGAGTCAGGCACAAGAGGCATAGAGTTCTCAATCCTCTCATAATCCCATGGAGAGGTGAACCAGGGGCAAGAACAAGCCATTTCACATGCAATAGGTTGGGGCTCTGGTCCTGACCCAATTATTCTATCTTGTCAAGGATAAACTTGAACACCACTTTTCAGTAAGACAACAAGCAGACTACTTGATTGCCGGGCAGTCTGGGTTTAGATGCTAGCAGAGCTGAGGAAGCATCTGAGGACCAGATGCCCAACACCTGGAGACCATGCATCCTATGGACAGTTGCAGCCCCTTCGTGTTAGAAAGTGTAAGCAGCTGGTCTCATGCAAAGCTATACGTAGGTGCAGCCCCTCTTTCCAAGAGGAACGGGAAACTCCAGTTGTAGCTAGCACATTTCCTGGGCAATCTAGAGTGAGATCCCAGGATCATTTCTGAATAGTTCTGCTTATTGCCCCATAGAATATTAAGTAAAATGTAGCACACAATATCTTTAGTACAGTATTAATAAGTACTCAATAAATATTAGCTATTATAGTTAGTCCCATTTGGCTATCGCTCCTTTTGTTCAACTTCCTTAGGAACATGATATGAGTAGAGTGTCAGAAGTGATTGACAGGGATAAACTTAGTCATTTCTGGGTTCTTTAGCAAAAATAATAATCTAAAACCACCTCAAACCTCACCCTAACTCTTTTAACAGAGACTTATAATCACATCAACATCTACATTAGCCCACAGCTTTAAAACTCATGTGTATCTTTGTTTCCAAACCGCTTTCTAACTGGTCTCCCCAATTCCAGTTTCTCTACTATCTAGTTTGAATTTCACGGTTGTCAGTGTTTTCTTCCTGAAATATATTATCATATAATTAAAAAGTTTTGCTAATTATTATGTTGGCAAAGCTGGGGAAAAACAGGCTGCCATTTCTGTGTAATATAGAATAAGGTAGGACCAGTAGATCCCATGATCATGTGCCCTTTGTAACACATCCTTCACAGTAAAGTGAGTCCCTTGGTCTGAGATGTAAGGCAAGGTTCCATGTCAGTACATCAGACATTGTGAGTCCTTGGGTAGTATTAGCAGGGGCATTGGAGACAGGGAAGCAAAATTATACCTGGAATACATACAAATCCCTATAAGGATGAGTCTCTGCCCACTGCAAGGTATTAATAGAAAGGGTTCAAAGTGATCAATCTGCCACCAAATGGCTGCTTAATCTTCTCAAGAGATCATACCATGTTGAGGGTTCAATGACAGTGCTAACTGTCCTTTTCTGTCTAATAAAATGAAAAGGATCCCAATCCTTACAGAACATAAAAAGAAAATATATGTGTTAGGCCGGGGTTTCCCACCCTCAACTTACCAGCTGTGACACTGTTGGCAAGTTTATTATCTTCTCCAGGCCTATCTAAAAATTGGGATAATGATAATACTTACCCCATTGGATTGTTTGAGAATTAAATGAGTTAGCACACATAAAGCATTTAAAACGACACCTGACCCAGAATAAGCGCGCTCTATTCAAATGTTTGCCAAATATATTTTTTAATGTTTAATATTAAAGGATGGCTTAAAGGAGGAGAGCAAATGGACGAGAGAAAAACAGCCGAGAAGAGGTTAAAAATAAGATGCCTCTGCTGGCGGGACCCTCCCTACCCACCTCCCCGCCCCGCCCCGCCCCAGAGTTCCCGCAAAGGGGCTTCCCCGCTCGGACTCGACGCCGCCACGCAGACCTGCCCCGCGGCCTCAGCTTCCCGGCTGTGTGGCCCAAGTATAGCCCGAAGCCCTCCGTCCCCTTTCTCCCCAGGCGAGGTCGAAGGAACCACGACCCCATTCGCGGCTAGGAAACAAGAAACCGAACGCTTTTCCATTCCGCAGTCTCCATGGTAACGCGTGCTTCGCTTTTCTAGCACCCGCGGAAGACTCTTCTCTTTGGTCCAGCCCTGCAGACACCGGGAAGCTGTGCTGTCTGAATCAGCTTGGCCAGTGTTGCACTGTTACCATTTGGGAGGAACAGATTAGCTTGAATATGAAATTTATCCTCTTCAGTATACAAAGAGAAAAACAAAGAAAATGAAAGCACGAGTCAATTAGAATTACTTGAATATAAGCTCCACGGGGCAGAGATCTTTAACCGTTTTGTACATTCATGTTATTCCAAGCTCTTAGTACAGTTGCTTTTAGAAATATTTGTTGAAGAATGAATTGAAATGAGTCTGAACAAAATGGACGCAAAGCAGCTTTGACTGATCTATCACCATTTGACTGTTCTCAGTAGCTTTATTTTAAAAAGAACCATAAGTCACATACATTTAAATGTGCTATAACTTTTAGGATCATGAGGGCCAACAAGCATACGTTATAAGTAATGTATTCTGTATTTTCAAGAATATATTTCCAATATATGGTATTTTTCTATAATATATTTTTATCATGTTATGTTTCAATATAATGATTATGAGCAGAACCTTGAACAGAAAATTGTTCCATCTATGTAAGTAATAAGGTTAAACACAAAAGATATATTTAAAAGTTTGGGGAAGTAATAAATACTTTTTTTACTAGATTTTATCTTTTAGAGCAGTTTTAGGTTCACAGCAAAATTGAGCTGAAAGTACAGAGATGTCCCATACTCCTTGCTCCACACATGTGTAGCTCTCTCACTCTCAGCATCCCCAACCGGAGGGGTGAACCTACATTGACAATCACCTGGAGTCCGGACAAATGTATAGTGGCATGTATCCACCATTACATAATCATACGTAGTATTTTCACTGCCCTAAAAATACCCTTTGTGCTCGGCCTGGTCATCCTTCTCCACTTCCAACCCCTGACAACCACTGAACTTTTTTTTCTTTGGTTAAGATGCTACATATATGATCTTTTTACTGTCTCCATAGTTTTGCCTTTTCCAGAATGTCATATAGTTGAAATCATACAGAATGTAACCTTTTCAAATTGGCTTCTTTCACTTAATAATATGCATTTAAGTTTCCTCTATGTACCATAGTAAATACTTTTTAGATTGTTCTTTCCCATATTAGAATATAAACTTTCTACCAAAAATTATGGGAAATTACCCTTTTAGAAGGGAAAATTCCAAGAAAACAATTATTTCAAAAAGATTGCCAATATTTTTTAAATGAAATATCAAAGACAAAAAAAATACTTGCTAGCAAGTTCTGAGTTGAACTGAAAAACAATCAGGTTAATTAAAAAGATTATTGGAAGGAAAATGGGAAGACCTGTCTATGGCAGTTAAAATGGATGAGCTAGAGCCACATTTTTCATGAAGGATAAATCTCAAAACTACATGTAAAGTTGAGTACAAATTACATAGTAACCCCTATAATGTATTCTTGCCAAAAATATTGAACCAAAATGAAATCAAGTATTTAGAGCTCAAAGGATATGTACAAACTGAAACTATTTGTATAAAATTTGTAAAACATGTAAATTATACTATATAATATTTGTGGCTACCCACGTATGTACTAAAAATATGTGAACATGCATGGGAATAATAACATCAAAATCAAGATAGTAGTTAACCTGGGAAGGAAGGGGGAAGGAATTGGTGAGGAGTAGACATGGTGATTTAATTGTGTATATAATCTTTTATGTCTTAAGCTAGATGTTGAGTGTTCTTTATATTACTCTTTAGTATGCCTGAAATATTTGCTATTTTTTTCAAAAGCCCCAGGAAATGAATTTTGTAATTTTGACAGATGGCAGAAGGGCCATAAAATTACTTAACATTATCAGGCTTTCATATCTCCATCAAGTGTCGTGACCTTCAAGTTGAGAATGATAGGACAAACATTTACATAAGGAAGGTAGTTAAACAGTAACTACAAGTTTTCATGCCCAGCTTAAAGCATACTAAAGTTCAGGAGGATTGGCCACAGGACCCCTGAAGCCCATTTTTGAGTAGTGCAACAAATGCCCAAGTCTGACAAATATCCAAATTTTCAAAAAGTAAGAAGGTGAACTGTGGAATTAACAGGGTGAAAAATTTGACATGGATCCCTGGTAAAATTCCAGTATTAATTATTTTAGGAGATGTTTTATGAGCGATTGTGGTTAGCCTAGAGGAAATAATGTAAATAAATGTCTCTTAATCCAACTAGATTATTAAAGTATATGCTAACAGTCTACTGTGGAAGTATCTTTATAACAGCAAAGGGTATAGCAGTCTTTCATGAATGTATTGCACAAAAATATGTGAACTGGACATTATTACTATTAAGTAGATTAATATTGGGAAGAAAGACTGTACCCAGTCAGCCTGGAAGGTAGATGACCACGCATAGCATCTCTCCTGTAGCTCCTTGCACAGTGCCTTTGCACAGTATTCACTAAAGTCCTTTACAAAATTATAGACTTAGTATCCTTAGGGATCATTCTACTTAAAATGCCAATTTCCATTAGATGAGAATAAAATTTTATAAAATTGGGGGATTGAAGAAATTATTTTTGTATAATGATTTTTATTCAGCAAGCAATATGGCCAGGCATTTTCATATACAATATATGTATATTAACCCTCTCACAATGAATTTGTGCATAAGGGATTTGTTTTCACTATTTTACAGATGCAGCAATTAAGACACAGAGAAATTAAGTAACTTGCTCACAGTATCATAGCTAACAAGTTGCAGAATCAGGAACAAGATCTTCTCAATATAAAGTTTCTGCACTTCCCATAATACCACTTTATTGCTACTGTGCCAAGTATTTTCTTACCTCCTTTGTCTTTGAATAAATAGAAGACCCGACTGGGCTGGAAAGGCTGCATTTATATCCAAAGTAGTCTAGGTATGAGATCCAAGAGTCTGAAATCATTAGATTCTCTTCTAATTTTATCCTCTTTTGTACAAACAAGTTTTTAATCTCTTGGGCCTCAATTTTCTCAAGTATAAAATGAAGAAAGTATACCTCATTACCATTATAGTATCTTCCAGGTTTGCAGTTATTCTCATCATGAAATTTGATGCCAGGCAATGTGTTAAGTGATTTCCACGTATTAACTAATTTATCCTTATAACGGCTCTGAAATTTAGGTATTTACACTGGACCCATTTTGCAGATAGACAAACTAGGGTGGGTCTAAGGTATGATACACACACATTGTGAGTGGGGTAGCCAGGATTTAATCTCATAATTAAGCAAATTTTATTTCATTTTGATACATTTTTAAAACAGCTAACCATGACTATTCACAAAGGTATGCAATCCTTGCCCCCACTGAAAGCACCAGAACACCTTGGAAAAATGGCTGATTCCAGGTCTGAGGCAGGAAATGTATGACATGTGTCTGAAACATTTATCTTGCCATAAAGGAAAAAAGCAAAGACGCTTAGAGTTGGATGAAAAGGACACAGGAGATAAAATAAAGGGACTCCCACTGACCAAAGATGAAATAATTTGAACATTAAAAAGAATAACTACTGCAATTGATTGAGACTCATTGAATGTATTTTTTTAAATCCATGTGTTCATATTGATATGCAAAAAGAGAAAACAAAATTTTGCATTAGTTATCAACTGATGCAGAACACTTGATGTTGTGCACAAAAAGAGAAAACAAAATTTTGCATTAGTTGCACAAAAAGATTTTACATTAGTGCACATTAGATGCACAAAAAGAGAAAACAAAATTTTGCATTAGTTATAAAACTTAGAACCAAACATCTGTTGCAGTTTCCTCCCTCAAAGCCATTCCCCAGCTTCTGAAGACCAGAAATCTGGGAGCAGCTTGGCTGGTGGTCCTGCGTATGTCATAAGGTTGCACCCAAGACATCAACCAGGGCTGCAGTCATCTGAAAGCTTGACTAAGGTAGAAAGATCCACTTCCAAACTCACTCATGTGTCTGCTGGCAGGAGGCTTCAGTTCCTCACCACCTGGGCCTCTCCTTACAACATGGCATTTGGCTTTCCCAAGGGTGTGTGATCTACGAAAGAAAAACAGACCAAAACAGAAGCCGTAGATTATTTTATAACCTAATATTAGAGATAATGTAGCATCGGCCAGGTGCGGTGGCTCATGGCTGTAATCCCAGCACTTTGGGAGGCCAAGGTGGGCAGATCACTTGAGGCCAGGAGTTTAAGACCAGTCAGCCAACATGGCGAAACTCTATCTCTACTAAAATATAAAAATTAGCTGGGCATGCTGATGCATGCCTATAGTCCCAGCTACTTGGGAAACCGAGGCAGGAGACTCACTTGAACCCGGGAGGTGGCGATTTCAGTGAGCCAAGATCGCGCCACTGCACTCCAGCCTGGGCAACAGAGCAAGACTCTGTCTCAAAAAACAAAACAAACAAACAAACAAACAAACAAAACATAGCATCACTTTTACCAGATCATTCAGTCACACAAACCAACCCTGGTACAATGTGGAAGGGGGCTACACAAGGATGTGAATGCTGGACAGTAGGGCCCAGCTAGCCATTTTATAGGATGGCTATCACATTTTGTAAGGTGGTTACCATTGATGGCACCTAAGGCACAACTGCTTTTTCTGAAAATTGGCAATTATGTTGAAAATTAAACAGTCTTTCTTTCCTGTACAAACTACATTTCAGGATAACCAAATAGCCCTAAATTGCTAAATTGATGAAGGAAAGTTTTTCTTTATAGAGGAGTTCTAACTAATAAATGTGAAAAAATTATTGAATTAGAAAAATTACAATTTTACAAACTCTAATGAAATGGGGTGGCTGAATCTATCAGATTAAAAGCCAGTGGGAAAGTTTACATGGAAGGATTCAGCTATCAAGTATTAAACCCACTGGTCAATCTTAGCATCAAAAACATTATATGCTTCCTGATGTGTGGCAAAAAGTACATAGCACCACCTAAGGATTCTTACTAACAAAGTTAAACCTAACTCTAATCAAACCTTTAGAGGTAACATCAAGTTTTACAGGAAATATGAGGCTAGAGAAACTAATAAAATGGGGACACAAATAGACAAAGCCAGCATGTAGAACATTCAGGACAAATGTCCCAATTTGTTCAATTAGTTGACTATATGAGGGGAAGACGAAGAGGAGGATGGAAGGAGGAACTAGTTCAGATGTGAATTTTAAAAGAATTAAGACACATGCCCAAATTAAATACTGGAACTTTAGATCTTGAATGAAATAGAAAACAAATGTAAGAAGCATATGTATATATTTAGGGAAATATAATATGGACTTGGTATTAGATGATAACCAGGAATTATTTTGTTAAATGGGATAATGGTATTGTGATTCTGTAGGAAAATATCCTTTTTAAAATAAATGCATAATGAAGTTGAAAGTAAGATATTTGGGGTTTGCTTTAAAACGTTTCAGCAAGAAAAAATGGAGATGGATGAAACAAGTGTGGCAGAATTTTATGTATTTTTAAATGTAAATGATGGGTATATATGGGTTAATTATACTCTTCTTTCGACTTCTGCATAGGCTTAAAATAGTCTTTACTTTTGAAAAAGACATTCAATTATTTGTGTTCTTAGTTAATATTTAAAAGTAACTTTTTCATATATTTGTCACAAAACTTCTGTCCATTCCTATCTAGAGGTTCCTCTACATGGGAAAAAAGGAGCAAAAGGGTAATATTTCTGCAACCCCTTTGCACAGGCCATAAACGCACGCAAACTCCTAGAAGGCTGAGCCGCGAGGAGGAGGGCGGAGAGTTTAAGGGAACGCCTAGACCAGAGAGTTGACGCCTTTCCTAGAAAATCACCGGAAATGATAATTGGCGGACTAGGAAGTGGAGCTTCTGTATATTTCTGTTTCTCATTTCTTGGGGAGAGTACCGGCGGGAAGGTCTGTGCCTTGGGCCGTCGTGGGTCGGAATTTGCAGCTGAGAGGAGAGGAGTCCGGTGCCGCCGTCGCCCCCCTCACCTAAATACCCGGGCCCCTGGGGTTGCAGGCAGGGGCGGGTCTTTGGGGCCAGATTTGAGGAGGGAGTCGGCTGCGGTTTCCTCCCTCGAAGCCATTCCCCAAAATGAGCATTTCCCGCCCATTTGCCCTACCTCCTCCCAGGGGCTCGTGACCCATTTTTTTTTTTTTTTTTTGAGACCGGAGTCTTGCTCTTGTCGCCTCCTGACCCATTCTTTTTATTCTTCTCTACAGCATCCATTCATATATTCATTCAGTCAGCTAATTTTTAATCCAGCACATACTATTGCAAGCGCTGTTTTAGGCGTTGAGAATACAACTGTGAACAAGACGACAAAAATTCCTGCCCTCATGGAGCCTAAGAGCCTAGATTTTAGCGAAGGTAGAACCACCGTAAACAATGTATATATTAATAAGTAACTTATGCACCATACTGGAAAATTATAAAGTGCTATAGAGGAAAAGAAGAATTCATGTAAAGCAAGGTAAGGCCCATCAGGATTGGAAGGAGGGGATAGGCTGCAATTTTAAATAAGGCACTCAGAGTAGACCTCCTTGGGAAGATGACCTATAAGAAAACACTTGAAGGAGGCAAGATTATTAGCCATGGAGATCGCTTAAGGTGAAGGGAGCAGCCAATGGAAAGGCCCTAAGATGAAAGAGAAGGAAGGTCGGTATGGCTGAAGATTGAGGGAGTGGGAGAAGAGTAGAAGGTGTTGAGAATGACACATCCTGTAGACTTGTATGCCACTCTTAAGACTTCAGCTCTTATTTTGGGTGAGCAGGAGAGGAAGTTAGAAGTCACGGGCACATTCAGTAGGGCCTTGTATACCTCGGTAAGGACTTCAGGTTTTATTTTAAGTATGAACCACTGGAGAGTTTTCAGCAGAGCGATGAAATGATCCAACTCAAGTTGTAAACGGACTACTCAGACTGCCCTATTAAGAAAGGAGGTGGAGCTTGCAGTGAGCCGAGATTGCGCCACTGCACTCCCGCCTGGGCCACAGAGCGAGACTCCGTCTCAAAAAAAAAAAAAAAAAAAAAAAAAAAGAAAGGAGGAAGGCAAGGATTGAAGAAAGGAGACCAGTTAGAAGACTACCGCAGTAATGGAAAGGAGGGGAGATAGCAGGTGATGGTGGCTCAGACAAGGGTGGTAGCCGTTGAGATTGTATTCTGGATATGTTCACATTTTCAGTTTGACTTCGTGCCTCAGGTTCTCAGTGACTCCCTATTTTTTCCTGTGGTCACATTCCTCTTTTCCCTTCACCAAATATGCAGGGAAACAAGATGTGAGATCACAGCGGTTTAGTGTTGCTAATGAACCCCAAATCCAGGGCAGTGTTTGACACATTAAGCCAAACAGTAGCGGCACTGTGGGTCAAGAAGGGCCCTTTGGCTGGCACCACCAAAACATGTGTTCTCCAAAGGAGGCTGGCATCAACTGGAGCCACTTCACAGCTTGTTTGAGAACTGGATCTGACCAGTAGGAAGAAACCAGGACAGCAGTGGAAGACTGTTAAAGAAACCTGAGTAAAAAGATGCAGGAGGTAAGAAGAGGAGGGTCTGTGATACATCACAAGGAGGAAGAAGGAGAAGTGAGTCCAAGAAAGAAGGAAAGCAGTGTGAGTGGAGGTGTGTCTGACTCTAGATACTGTTGGAGGTGTCTCCTCCTAGATACTGTTTTTGCTGCTTGACCTGGTGATCATTAAAGCTTTGTAGTTGTAGATGCCATTTCTAGTTTTCATAAGGTATTAGGAACTGAGTCCATTATTTTCTCCCTTCTTTTGGTATTTCTGGGAGACAGTTTCTGTGGATAGACCTGTATGGTTGCTTGCATCTTCCTATGTATTTTTCTCACCTTCATAACTTTCCTGAATTCATTCTGTGTCTTGCAATAGGTTGTGCTGTTGGATGAGAGTTCAGGACCACCAAGCCAGCTGCTTTGGACCCGCCAGGATACCCAGCTCCCTCAGGAAAGCGGTGAGATACACAGGAGATTGTGGCAGGAGTCACGGCAGCTGAGAATGTAGTAAGGACACAGAGTGGGTGGAAAATGCCACACTGGGGCCCAAAAATCTGTTCATTAATGAGCATTTATAGAAAGTCTTATTTTGTTTCTATACGAGGCTTGGATCAATATCTAGAGGAACTAAATATTCAGTTTCTGTCAGTATCTTAAATTTTGAAAAAAATCAGTGTGTAAAAGATTCTACAAAGCAATTTATCAGAAAGAATCAATGCAGTCAGGCATTTACTGTTTGTATAACCTGAGATATATGGTAAATAGCGTACATATTTGCACATATTTTACACTTATAAAACTTGTGGTATAATTCAGTAATTCCTACCCAAACATAATTTTGCCAACATGTAAAATTTGAATATATACAATTTTACTTCTGCAGACCTTTCTGGAGCCCTGATACTTTTAAATGATGTATAGATATCTCCAAAATATAAAATAAAGCAGTGACAAAAGAAGAAGCAAAAGTTTTCCCATTGAAGCCTTGTGCTCTTTGGTGGCGTATGTGAGGAGGAAAAGTGGTTAAGATTTGTATAAAAGCTGATGGTAGGCCGGGTGCGGTGACTTATGCCTGTAATCCTAGCACTTTGGGAGGCCTAAGTGGGTGGATCACTAGAGGTCAGGAGTTCATGACCAGCCTGGCCAATATGGTGAAACCCCATCTCTACTAAAAATACAAAAATTAGCCAGGTGTGGTGTAATGCACCTGTAACCCCAGTTACTCAGGAGGCTGAGGCAGAAGAATTGCTTGAACCCAGGAGGTGGAGGTTGCAGTGAGCTGAGATCATGCCACTGCACTCCAGCCTGGGCAACAGAGTGAGACTCTGTCTAAAAAAAAAAAAAAAAAAATTGCTGTTGGAGGTGCAACCTAGGAGATAGTATATAGCAATTCAGGAGTCATAAAATCAAACCCAGAAAGGCATAGACTTTTGGACAGAGGAGTAGGCACATTCAAAAGTAAGCTTTTTAGTATATGCTACCTGCAAAAAATAAAAATAAAATGTGTTTCTAGATATAGTGTTGAAACATCTAGAGGAGGAATCCTGAGATATCTGCTGTACAAGGGATCACAAATGAGAATTAATAATATAGAACATAAATTTTTTATAGATTTAGAAATAAAAAATAATAGCTATTGCTAAACTCGGATGCACGAGTCTCCCAGTCTTCTTTTTCTCAAATGGTCGTGAAATCTGCTGTGGTGGATTTTCAGGGTCAGAAATTCTGTAGCCACCTATCATATAATACAATACAAATGTATTAATCTTATCCCACAAGATATCTGTATACTGCTTTAACAAAAAGTTTTATGTTGTTTTTTCATGTAGCCTGTTTCCTAAATTCATTTTTAACTTAAGAGGAATAACCTTTCAATTTCTAAAGCTAAAGCTAAAAAATAAAGCTTATGAATCACTATGAGTGACAGACTTTCCCAGTTGTGAAGAAGATATGGTAAAAACCAGTAGGGAATGAGTTACATAGGGGTATGCTTTTGTCAAAGTTTCTCTAAGGGTACATTTAAGACATGTGCATTTCATTATATGTAAATTTTACCTCGAAAAAGAAGGTAAACAAATGTTGAACTTCCAGTTAATGATATACATGTTAAACTGTTTAGGGGTGAGGTGTACTGATGCTTTCAACTTACTTTGAAATGATTCAAAAAATAAAATACATTAATGAACAGAGAGAGGAATAGATAAATGGATAAGTATGTGATAAAGCAAATATTGCAGAACGTAAATTGTGGAATGTAAGTGATTGGTATATGGATATTTACTATATAATTTTTTCAACTTTTCTATATACTTGAAAATATTCATAATAAAATAATGGTTGAAAACATCCAATTGAGAGCTTTAAGTGTGTTAATGTTATAAGGAAAAGAACTGTTATGTAACATTAACAAGGCACAAACATGTGTCTGCTGTGAGTTGTGTGCCATCCAGATGAGTTTAGACTTTTTGAGACAGTTATAAAGGAGCTCGGAGCTTTTAGAGTGAGACAGTGGAAAAACTGTATGGAACCACCATGACTGAGATGCAGCCTTGGTCTTGGTCAAAAGCTATAAGTAGCTGAAACTAAAGAAGAGTCTTCTTGGGCAATTTCAGTGAAAAGAAATCAGCTTGGTTCTAAATCGGTTTTTCGTAAAAATGGAATGATAGTCTTGGAGGTCTAAATCCAAAGGGTGATTATAAAATCTTACCAATAGATTACTTTGACCCTGCTGGTGTCTTAAAAGCAGACAGCAATTATTCAGATTTGGACTTGGCGATGTGTTGATAAACTATCAAGAAAAATAAGGCACCTTAAACATTGAAGCTACAGAAAGATTGAGCTGGCCTGCAAGGAATAAAGTCAGGCCCTATTAATTAGTAATATGAACTACTTCTCAGCTGGGCGTGGTGGCTCATGCCTGTAATCCCAGCACTTTGGGAGGCCGAGGCGGGTGGATCATGATGTCAGGAGATGGAGACCATCCTGGCTAACATGGTGAAACCCCATCTCTACTAAAAATACAAAAAATTAGCCAGGCATGGTGGTGGGCACCTGTAGTCCCAGCTACTTGGGAGGCTGAGGCAGGAGAATGGTGTGAACCCAGGAGGTAGAGCTTGCAGTGAGGCAAGATCACGCCACTGCACTCCAGCCTGGGAGACAGAGCGAGACTCTTAAGTCTCAAAAAAAAAAAAAGAAACTACTTCTCACCCAATCATATGGATTATACCTGAACACTTGGACACTCTTTATAAAGTTTCTTTTGCATTTTAAAATGCTCTGTGTGCTATACTATATTGACATAGGGAGGATAACTCAGTACTAGGGAATTAGTAGGAAAAATGTGCAAAATCGGGAAGAATGATTCTTCTCTAAGAGGAATAAGGAAAAAAATTTGTAACTAACTGGAGGTAGACCAGCCATTAAGTTACCTGAAAAAATAAGCTTTGGTCCTATCCCTGGATGCTTCTGTTCAACACATATGCACACACACACATACGCGTGCATGCACACACTCTTTTTCACCCTCCTTCTACCCCAAGTATTTTGGAAGAAATGACTTCAGTATTCAAATACAGGAAGAAGGTCTATTCAAAACCAGGGAATAAGTGATTTGGGCCTTTTTACCAGATCTGTTTGGGGAGGGGGAAAGTTTATTCCAGGACAAAGACCACAGGAAAACAGTAGGTGAGACAGGAAAAGAGTGCATTTCCAAGAGCTGCCTTGGCTGCTGTGCCAGGGCCTGATGCCCAACACTGGAAGTTGAGACTAGAAAAATAATGAAGAGGAAGGATACTGTAAGGCAGTAGCCTAAAGCCCTAGGTTAGAGCTGCAGAAGCTTCTACATTTGAGGAAGAGAAGACGAATGCAGGAGATTTCATTAATACTGTGCTATATTGACTCTTGGCTTACTTATCTTCCCTCAGCTCTATTACCTGCTCCATATCCTGCCTTCACTAAAGATGGAAGCCAAGGAAACCTGCCGCAAGCAGATATCACACTAATGAGCCAGGCCCAAGTGAGCTGAGGCCCCTTTCCTCCTCCTTGAAAATACATCACTACCTCCAAAATATGGCCTTGTTTTCACTGCGTTCTCTGGCTGTGCAACTCCTAAATCAATGTTCTCCCTCTCATAAGGAACATTTTGTTGCATGATAAACCACTTGTGGGTTGTTTTCTCTTTCATTATTTTTTGCTATCAAAACCCCATGCTCCCTTTCATCTCATTTGTACATACCCACCAAAAGGGAAGAGCCTTTCACTTCTATAAACCTCCTCCTTGCAAATTCCTTTCTTCTGCCTCTGTTTCCTGAGGAAACTATGGCGTTTTCTCCAGGATAGCAGGAGCATATTATTTCAGGAGTCAGTGACATTTGAGGATGTAGCTGTGAACTTCACTAACAGGGAGTGGCAGTGTCTGACCTACGCTCAAAGGCATCTCTATAAGGATGTGATGTTGGAAAATTATGGGAACATGGTATCACTTGGTAAGGACCTTCCCTACACTTAATGCTTTCTACCTTCTTTTTTTATTATTTAATTGATTTATTTATTGATGTATATAAGGTCTCATATTGAAAGAGTCCTTATTCTTTATCATCAGGATCTTGCCCAAAAATTAAGAGTTTTGAGTTGCCTCTATTACATAGCAAGATAATTTTTTGGCTAACCTAGTTGCTGTTTTCTGATTTGGAATGAGTTAAAAGGAGACATTTACCTTCTGTTTTCCCTGGGTTCTTGCTTCCTCAAGCCTCTCATTTTTTTATGGGGTGTTCTATATTCCGCTCCTAGTCAAGAACTGCCTTCTATGTGCCTGAAACTGATAGTCTTCCTATACCAGACTCCCATTCTCCTAAAGTAAAACAAAATAAAATTAAAAAAAAAAAAAACAGGAGAGCACACCCAAATGACTGTTTCCCAGAACTTCTCTTTCCTTCTGAGTGTGACTTTTCTGAGAAAGTCCCCAAACATGTTCTTTTACATGTTACTAGACCCCTGAAAAACCCTTTTCTCTATCTAAATTAACATTTCTTTCCTGTTTTCATATACAAACAGAAGGATCAGGGCTGCTTAGCTAAGTTATAAGTTATTAAGTTATAAGTTACTCTACACACTTATTTCTTCTCTGCAACCAGGATTTCCATTTCCTAAACCTCCTTTAATCTCTCATCTGGAGCGAGAAGTAGACCCCTGTGTGCAGGATCCACAGGACAGGGAGTCCCTAAGCTGCTCCTACCCAGGTGAGTAATAGAGAAACTTTCAGTTCCCTCTGATCTTCCATGTGGCATAATGGTTATGGAACATTCTCAGTGGTGGATCATCCAGTCGAAGGGCCCAGAAAGGAAACCCATTTAGGAAACTTAAGGAAAAGAAAATTGAAACAGTGACAAACTATTTGGGCAATTATTCTGTTATTATCTAATTGGTTCTTTGCAACCTATCTAATAGATTTTTGCAATTTGGCCCTCAAAAAAGGCTCAGAGGCTGGGCACAGTAGCTCATGCCTGTAATCCCAGCAATTTGGGAGGCCAAGATGGGCAGATCACCTGAGGTCGGGAGTTTGAGACCAGCCTGGCCAGTATGGTGAAACCCCATCTCTACTAAAAATACAAAAATTAGCTGGGTGTGGTGGTGCATGCTGGGTGTGGTGGTGCATGCTGGGTGTAATCCCAGCTGCTTGGGAGGTCTGAGGCCGGAGAATCATTTGAACCCAGGAGACAGAGGTTGCAGTGAGCTGAGATCACACCACTGCACTCCAACCCGGGGGACACAGTGAGACTCCACCTCAAAAAAAAAAAAAAAATCTCAGAATATTTATTACCCTTCTGTGTGTCAGTTACTGCAGTGCTCATAAATTGAGACAGGTGAGAGTCATTCTAGGCAGAAGGAATAACATGTGAGAAAGCATTGAGGAATAAAATAATATGAACTATGAATTGTTCAGTGTGAGTAGAGCAGGGGACTTAGAATAGCTTTGGGGAGGTTCATAAGTAGTAGAAAGGGGCAAGATCATGATATGACGTCTGTTTTTTGGGAGTTTTCTTAAGGAATTTAAACTACAAAACTTGAACTTACAATAACAGCTAATATTGATTAAAGTACTTCAGTGTGGCATGTGCTTTACATACATTAACTCATTTAGATAAAGCAACTGAGGCAAAGGAGAAGTGAAGTCATCCTCCCAAGTTCACACAGGTATTAAGATTTATTAACTGTCATACTAGGATTTGAACCCAGGCAGTCTCACTCTAGAGCCAGGACTCTTGACCGTATGCTTTACTTTCTTCCTGTCTGGTTAACTATGGAGTGCCATTGAAGTATTTTAAGCTAAAAAGTGACATGATTAGACTTGATTTTCAGAGAGAATAATCTGGAAGCAGTGCAGAGGATGGATTAGAAGGGATTCAGGGTAAAGGATGTTTGAGGGATATAGCAATTAGTGAGAATGCACTGGCAGTGGAAATAAAGAGGAAGAGATAGAGTTCAGAGATAATATTAATAAGATGTATTTGGAGTCTTTGGTTGACAGCAATAGAAATTAACCCAAGCTAGCTTAAGCAGAAAAACATGAATTTATTTATTATTCAGGATGTGTCATGGGACCTAAGGGCAGCTATGTGTCAGGCCCTAGAAGAGACTCAAAACCATCAGGTTTCCAACTGTATTCCCTGCTTCTTTGTGAGTCAGCTTCATTCTTCTTTCTAGGCAAATTGACCTTCTCTTCTTCTCGGACCAGATGGCAGAACATTCCCTCCTCTGTACCAAATACCATCCCACCACCACTAGTTCTCAAATTTAAGTGCTAAAGACTGAGCTACTCTTAGAGCTGGCCTTACCTGCCGTCAGATCACAATTCTAAAGTCCAGGATTAGAGAATCTGACCTGGTTTGGGTCAGGTATTGCACAGATCTAATCTGCCCCAACCAGATGGGCTGAGTCACATAACAGAAATATGGCTCTCCAGGGCCCACCCTTGGGAGCAAAGCAGACAGTTCCTTGAAAAGGGACTGCATCAGCATTTCAGCACCTCCTCTGTAACTCTCTTCACAGGTAGAATTTGTAAAATGTTAGCTGGGTAAATACAAGGGAGACAGAGTTGAAGATTATTTTGTTTTGTGGCTTAGATGACTAGGTGTATAGAGTTTACACTCACTAAACTAGGAGACTATAGAGGAGGAATAGGTTTTTAAGGATTTTTTATAAAGTGTGCTGAGTGTAAAATATCTCAATACTTTTCATTATTTCAGCCTGTTCTGACTTTTGGCCACAACGTTAGTAATTTTTCCAGCATGGAAAAGTTATTTACTCTTCAAACAGCTTAACATTGCTTCACGCCTCCCATCTCACTTATTTCCTTCCCTCTGACATTTGTATTTTCTTGTTTAAGTGTCAGCTGACAAGATGTGGCCTGAGAATGAAAAGGCAAGTTCACAACAAGAGATTTTTGAAAATGGAGAAGCCTACTGGATGAAATTTAACAGTCTCCTAAAAGTTGATTCCCGGGATCCTAAGGTTAGAGAAGTTTGTGTTCAGGATGTCAAATTAGAGAATCAATGGGAAACATCTATAAGGGAGAAACTGAGAGAAGAGAAAGAAGGCTCTGAGGAAGTGACCTGCAAAAAAGGAAAGAACCAGAAAGTGCTTAGTAAAAACTTGAATCCAAACTCAAAACATAGTCAATGTAATAAAGTTCTTATAGCACAGAAACTCCATGAATGTGCCAGGTGTGGCAAAAACTTCAGTTGGCACTCAGATCTAATTCTCCATGAGCAAATTCATTCTGGTGAGAAACCCCATGTGTGTAATGAGTGTGGGAAAGCATTCAAGACCAGAAATCAGCTTTCTATGCACCGGATAATCCACACAGGGGAGAAACCTTTTAATTGCACCCAGTGTGGGAAGGCTTTCAACAGTAGATCAGCTCTTTGCCGACATAAAAAAACCCACAGTGGGGAGAAGCCTCACGAGTGCAGGGACTGTGGGAAGGCCTTCAAGACCAGGAACCGTCTCTGTATGCATCAGCTTATCCACACCGGGGAGAAGCCTTACAAATGTAACTGCTGTGGGAAGGCCTTCCAGTTTAAGCATTCCCTTACCATCCATGGCAGAATCCACACTGGGGAGAAGCCATATGAATGTGAGGAGTGCGGGAAGGCCTTCAGTGGGAGTTCAGACCTCACCAAACACATAAGAATCCACACTGGGGAACGACCTTATGAGTGCAGCAAGTGTGGAAGGGCCTTCAGTCGGAGCTCAGACCTAAGCAAACACAAACGAATCCATACTCGGGAGAAACACTATGGGTGTCCCCAGTGTGGAAAAGACTTCAGCATCAAGGCAGAACTCACCAAACACAGAAGGATCCACACTGAAGAGAAACGTTACAGGTGTGAGGAGTGTGGGAAAGCCTTTCGTCATAACTGTAAGCGCAGGGCTCATGAACGAGAGCATACAGGGGAGAAGCCCTATCAATGCAGGGATTGTGGGAAAACCTTCCAAGATAAGCACTGCCTTACCATCCATCAGAGAATCCACACTGGAGAGAAACCTTACAAATGTTTAGAGTGTGGGAAAGCTTTCAGTGGGAAGTCAAACTTGACCAATCATCGAAGAATTCACACTGGAGAGAAGCCTCACAAATGTGAGGTATGTGGAATGGCCTTCCATCATAGTTCAGTCCTGAGGCAGCACAAAAGAATCCACACTGGTGAGAAGCCATACACCTGCAGTGAGTGTGGCACGTCCTTCCGTCAGGGCTCAGCTCTGATTGGACATAAGCGAGTTCATACTGGGGAGAAACCTTATGAATGTGAGGAATGTGGAAAAGCTTTTAGAGTGAGCTCAAATCTTACTGGACATAAGAAAAGAAAACATCAAGTATGGAGTACCCATGAACTTGATGGGAGTAGGAAATCCCTCTCTCCAGTGACTGTTTCTCAGACCTCAGTAGTCAGTATTTTGACCAGTGCCTGAGTATAACGATTCTGGTGTTACTTTCTGTTTTTCCTACCTCTTAGGCTGGTCCTTCTGTCTCTTATATTAGTTATTCCTGATTTCCTGACCCTTAATTGTGAGATTCCCCAAAGACATTGTCCTTTACCTTCTTATTCACTATTTTTTCAGTGAGCACATTTACTTCCAAGAGTTTATCAATCACTTCCTAATATTAATAAACACTTATTAGTGCTTGCTGTGTTCTAGGCACTGTTCTAAGGGATTTACACATTTAAACTTTTTAAATCCATACAACATCCCTATGAGATCAGGAATTTGAGGCACAGAAAGATTAACAAACTTGCCCAGGATCACGTAACTAGTAAATTCTGTGCTCAGGCTTTCCTAGGCAATTCCCATATGCGTGCACCACATCTTTCCGACATGAAGTTATACCTCAGTTCAGCAGAAAACAGTTTGTAATTTATAAACACCAATCATTTTTAGCAATTTTTTTAACATAAAGCTAGAATGGTACTTCTCCATATTGTATCAGGATTGCTAAGATTCAAAGTGAAAAGGGAGGCAGGGAGAGAACAGGTTTAGAAATCACAGATAAGAGTCAGGCACGGGGGTTCATGCCTGTAATCCCAGCACTTTGGGAGGCTGAGGAGGGAGGATCACGAGGTCAGGAGTTCGAGACCAGCATGGCCAATATGGTGAAACCCTGTCTCTACTAAAAATACAAAAATTAGCCAGGCATGGTGGTGCACGCCTGTAGTCCCAGCTACCCTGGAGGCAGAGGTTGCAGTGAGCCAAGATCGTGTCACTGCACTCCAGCCTGGGCAACACAGCAAGACTCCATCTCAAAAAAAAAAAAAAAAAAAGAAATTACTAGTCTGACCTCCAGAAGTCTTTTGATGTTTCCTAAACACATAAAATGAATATTTTGAGAGCGTATTTGAATAAATTTTAGATTTTTACCTGGTGAAAAAGATATGTCTTGAAAATTCTGAAGGACTACTTTATGAACAGTGGGTTAATCTTGTTCTGCAACTATCCCAGAATAGAATTACAATCCACAAGTAGAAGCTACAGGACATCTGTACATTTAGGAGATACTCAACTGGAACAGATTCTGCCATAAGGTAATAAGTTTGGTAAGAATAATACTGAAGGAATTCGAAGGTCAGGTGCATAGTTGAATGACAAAACATGTTGCTTGAAACCCTAAGATATCTGTAGTTCTAATTCTGAAGAGTTACCAAACAAGAGTTAGTCTAAGTTATAATTTACATACAAAAATCACCAGGTAAAACTCACTTTTTAAATCGAATTACATTCCACGTGCAAACACAAAATTTTTACCAGAACACTGATATGAGATTATTTTTACCTTCACAAAAGAAATGGAGAATGCCAATTTCATTTAAGTTTAAGAAAGATGATAAGATACTTCTTGGTAAGGATTGTAGCTTGACTACGTGTATTTGGTATTGCTCCCCCTCAGAACTACACTAATGCTACAGTAAAACCATT
This sequence comes from Homo sapiens, assembly GCF_000001405.40. Taxonomy (NCBI): domain Eukaryota; kingdom Metazoa; phylum Chordata; class Mammalia; order Primates; family Hominidae; genus Homo; species Homo sapiens. Next base: position 259,058 of record NT_167246.2, on the reverse strand, counting down.
CATAATCAGGAAGAATGGCAGAAGAGGCAACTACAAAATTTTGGAAACTGAAAAAAGGATAAGTAATAATGACATTGAATTTGAGAAAGCTAAATTTTAGCCTGAAGGGGGCAAGTAAAGGACAAATCTGACCGGGCACCGTGGTTGACACGTGTAATCCCAGCACTTTGGGTGGCTGAGATGGGCAGATCACTTGGGATCAGCAATTTGAGACCAGCCTGGCCAACATGGTGAAACCCTGTCTCTTTATTAAAAATAGAAAAATTGGCTGGGCTTGGTGGTGCGTGCCTGTAGTCCCAGCTACTGGGGAGTGGGAGGCGGAAGTGGCAGTTAGCCGAGATTGCACCACTGCACTCCAGTCTGGGCAACAGAGTGAGACTCCTTCTAAAAAAGAAAAGAAAAAAAAAAAGACATTTATTTTACATCATAGAATCTTTAAGCGACTCAAGAATTGGTGGCACCATGTACCCCTGGAAATGAGAATGAATAGACTAAAACGAGGAGAGTCTGTCAGAGGCTATTTAGGAAGCAAGCAGAGTCCTAGGTCCTCAAGCCCAAAGAAGACTGGAGGTTTATTTTCTGAAGAAGGTTAAACAAAGGATATGTGGGCTAGACACATGGAGGACAGGAATTCCATTTGAAAAAGGAGCATACTGAATGTCAACGCCTCCAGCCTACTTTCCTTATCTCCCAGAAAGATGAGGGTCTGGCTTTCACCTCCCAGACAAAAGACGCAGTTTTCAGTGAGAAATCCAACCAGAATAGACTTGAAGATACATCAGGAGTTTCTCAGCAAGTGGCCTAGCCAGATAACCTGTAGTGAACATCAGCAAGTCATAGTCGTGCCATCAGAGCTTCCCATAGGTTTTATAGTCCTCCTCTATTAAAAAAAATGTATTGGCCGGGCGCAGTGGCTCCTGCCTGTAATCCCAGCACTTTGGGAGGCTGAGGTGGGCAGATCATCTGAGGTCAGGAGTTCAAGACCAGCCTGACCAATATGGAGAAACCCTGTCTCTACTAAAAATGCAAAAATTAGCCAGGCATGGTGGCGCTTGCCCGTAATCCCAGCTACTCAGAGTCTGAGGCAGGAGAATCGCTTGAACCCGGGAGGCAGAGGTTGTGGTGAGCCGAGATTGTGCCATTGCACTCCAGCCTGGGCAATAAGAGCGAAACTCCATCTCAAAAAAATAAATAAATAAAAAATAAAGTTTATTATAGAACATTTCAAACCCATGCAAGAGTTAAGGCAATAGAAAAATGAACTCCATGTACACATCATTCAGCTTCAACAATTATTACGTCAGGGTTAATCTTGTTTCATCTGTATCCCCACCCATTCCCTCTGCTTAAGATTATTTTCAAGCAAATGACAGAAATTGTGTTTCATCCATAAGTATTTAATTGTCTATAGGAGATAATGACTGTTTAAAAAAACTAACAATATGGGCCGGGCACGGTGGCTCACACCTGTAATTCCAGCACTTTTGGGAGGCTGAGGTGGATGGATTGCCTGAGGTCAGGAGTTCAAGACCAGCCTGGCCAACATGGTGAAACCCCGCCTGTACTAAAAATACAAAAATTAGCCAGGCGTGGTGGCAGGCGCCTGTAATCCCAGCTACTCGGGAGGCTGAGGCAGGAGAATTGCTTGAACCCGGGAGGTAGAGGTTGCAGTGAGCCGAGATCGCGCCACTGCACTCCAGCCTGGGCGACAGAGCAAGACTCAGTCTCAAAATAAATAAATAAATAAATAAACAAACAAACAAACTAACTAACAAACTAATAATAGAGCCAGGGGCACGACGGCCTATGCTGTAGTCCCAGCTACTTAAGAGGCTGAAGTGGGAGGACTCCTTGAGCCCTAAAGTTTGAGGTTAGCTTGGGCAATATTGCAAGACCCCATCTCTAAAAAACAAACCAAAAATATAAGTAAACTAACACTAGTACAGTTATCACACCTAAACAAAATTATCTATTTGGCAACATCATCAAAGATTCATTCGCTGTTCAAATTTTTCTCTAATGCCATTTTTTCTTAACATTAAAAAAAACCAAGCCAGGCACCATGGCTCACACCTGTAATCCCAGTACTTTGGGAGGCCAAGGCAAGAAGATCACTTGGGCTCAGGAGTTCAAGACCAGCCTGGGCAACATAGCAAGACCCTGTCTCTACAAAAAATTCAAAAATTAGCCAGGCATGGTGGTGCATGACTGTGGTCCCAGCTACTCGGGAGACGAGCTTGGGAGGTCAAAGCTGCAGTGAGCCGTGATTGTGCCACCACACTCCAGCCTGGGTGACAGAGTGAGACACTGTCTCAGAAAAAAAAAAAAAAAAGTATTCAAATAAGGTCAATACATTGTGATTAGTTGGTATGTATCTTAAGTATTTTAATATATAAGTTCTCCCTATATCTCTTTTTTCTTGAAATTTATTTAATGATTAACTAGGTTGCTGGTGCTGCAGAGTTTCACAGTTTGGATTTTAATTATTGCACACCTTTGGTAGTATTTAACACATTCCTCTGCCCCTGCATGTCCTAAAAATTAATAGTTAGATCTAAGGGCTTTATCAAATTCTATATTTAGATTTGATTTGGGTAAGACTACTTCATAGGTGTCAGCACAAGCCTTTTTTGTTTAACATGACTAAAGTAGTCTTCAGTAGCCTCCTTGCTTTCTGGTGAAAAGATTTTCCAGGTTCATCTGGTATATTTCCTTAGGAAGACTCTTGTTTCTAAAACTAGTACAGGAAAAAAATATAAGATCTGAATAGTCTGATACCAATTATTTAAATAGAACCTATAATATATATTCCCAGAAAGAAAACTCAAGGGTCAGATGTTTTCACCAGTTAATTCTACTAAACATGCAAGGGAAAATAATCCCAATGTTAAACTCATTTTATGAGGCCTGTATAACCTTAATACCAAACCATTAGGGAACGATGAGGAAAAACAAACAACACAAGGAAATTTTTTAAAAAAGAAAATTACAGGCTATTATCATTCATGAATGTAGTGAGAAAAATCTTGAGATAGTAACAAACTGAATCCAGGAATATACATTTTTTAAAAGATTACATGTCTTGAACAAGTTAAGATTATTCTAGCATGGAGAAGTTGGATTAGCATTCAAAAATCAATAAAGGTGGTCAGGCGTGGTGGCTCACACCTGTAATCCCAGCACTTGGGGAGTCCCAGGTGGGAGGATCACTTGAGGTCAGGAGTTTGAGACCAGCCTGGCCAACATGGCAAAACGCCCCTCTCTACTAAAAATACAAAAATTAGCCGGACCTAGTGGCCTGCACCTGTAATCCCAGTTGGGAACAATTCTGTGACAGTCCTTCTTTCTAACATACAATTCATATTATTTTCTTTTTATTCTCTTAAATCTGGAACATCATTCAAAATCTACACATAGAAAGCTATCTCCTTTTTAGTAGAGTTTGCCCCATATTAGGGCAATAACTTATCTAATCCTTGTGAACCCCCATGAGAACCCCACTAAACTCTGAGTTCCGTGGGGCAAGGACGTTCTGTGCTGTTCCCTTCCTTATCCTCTCCATACCCTCCCAAACTTTATGAAGCTGGAAAGAGGAAGAGAAGGAGATGAGGGAAGGCTTCCAAGGAGAAACAACTTCCAAGCTGAGGTCTAGAGAATGAGAGACAGACCAGAAGTATGCAGAGAGAACTGCTCCGAGGAGAGATAGGGCTCCCCCGGCAACCACAGAGATACGGGGTACTGAGAAGCCCACAGAGAAGGTACCTGACTGGGTGTGTCTGGCAGTTGTAAGGTAAGGCAAGGCACTGGCACTTTCCCTAGAGTTGTCTCTTCTCTATACCATATAACTATGGTTCCAAGTGTGAAGTGAGCACACTACAGAGAGGCTGGAGGAAGAACAGCAGCTGATTCCAAACATAAATTAATCCTTCAGGCTGCGTGCGGTGGCCCACGCCTGTAATCCCAGCACTGTGGGAGGCCGAGGAGGGAGGATCACTTGAGGCCAGGAGTTCGAGACCAGCCTGACCAACATGGCGAAACCCCGTCTCTACTAAAAATACAAAAATTAGCCAGGGCGTGGTGGCGCGCACCTGTAATCCCAGCCACTCGGGAGACTGAGGCAGGAGAATGGCTTGAACCGGGGAGGCGGAGGTTACAGTGAGCCGAGATCGTGCCACCTCACTAAGTATGTGCCATTAAGGGTTTTTTTGCTTGTGTCACTCATTGCTGTATCTGAGGCGCCTGGAGTACACTGTCCTCTAAATAATGGGGGAACATTGTTCTGGGGACGGTTATCTCTGGCTCCGTGGTAAACAGAAGTCGAAGAGGAGAATGGGATTGATACGTAAGAACCATTCATACTGAACATTTGGAAAGGGATTCTCCTAAAAACAGTCCCTAGTGAGAATGAAAAGTACTTGGCAGCGGTGGGATTTGAACCCACGCCCCCGAAGAGACTGGAGCCTTAATCCAGCGCCTTAGACCGCTCGGCCACGCTACCGTTGATTACAACTGTGTTCTTCCGCATTTTCCCTAGTAGAGAATGTCGCCCTCTACTGCGTTTAAGGTGTGTCTTTTTTCCCATTAGGGAATGTCGCCCCCCCCCCCCACCCCGGGGCGTTTAAGGTGTGCCTTCTCCCCATGACCTCTTCTCTGGAGCTCCCTCCAGCGCCATCAGAGAACTTCAGGCAGCTGTTCAGCCGCCACACACCCCGAACCCCCAACACGTTGCTTTCGCACTGATGGGAGCAGTGAGGAAGGAAACCGGCGGATCCTAGACGCCCTTCCCTTGCGTCACCGATGTAAGAGGAAGCGGCCACGCGGACGGAGACCCCCAGGGGACGCTGTGGTTCGCAGGTTCGCTGTGGAAGGTGACGCCTGGCTGGAGCCCCGACGCCGCTGAGCGAGTTTCAAGTGGTTTTGGCCGACGGAACTCTACGAAAAAACGGGGCGCCGTGCGAAAGAGCGCAGTCCTTGCTGTTTATGAAGGTAAAAATTCAGAAGGTGACCCGCGGTCCCCGCAGAAATGCCCGCCGGGCAAAAGGCACAAGACGGTTCAGTTTGAAACCTCAAGATTCGAATCATTTAAAAGTATAGTTGCTGCTATAGTATAATGCAATGCATTGACAAAGTTGTTCGTTGCGTTTCTCTTAGTGCAGGCGACAGCGCGTCGGTCTCCTTGGCCCAAAATTTTGACTGAGTCCTAAAATAAAAACGCATTGTGCAAAAAATTATGACAAATAAGATCATAATAAAGAAAGTTAACTAGCGCTGGAGTTTCTTATTGTTTTGTCATTCATCTTCATTAAAATCACTGCTGACGGAAGTTTTTATCCAATATGCCAGTGGAAACTATGCTGTCTTAGAATTCTTTTTTTTTTTTTTTTTTGGAGATGGAGTTGGCTAGAGTCCAATATCGCGATCTCGACTCACCGCAACCTCCGCCTCCCAGGTTCAAGCAATTCTCCCGCCTCAGCCTCCCGAGTAGCTGGGATCACAGGCATGCGCTACCAAGCCCGGCTAATTTTGTATTTTTAGTAGAGATGGGGGTTTCTCCATGTTGGTCAGGCTGGTCTGGAACTCCCGACCTCAGGTGATCCGCCCGCCTCGGCCTCCCAAAGTGCTGGGATTACAGGCGTGAGCCACCGCGCCTCCCAAAGTGCTGGGATTACAGGCGTGAGCCACCGCGCCTCCCAAAGTGCTGGGATTACAGGCGTGAGCCACCGCGCCCGGCTGTCTTACAAATTCTTATATTTGAGTTGTTCATACGGAATTTACTGCATAGTGCCTGGTGTTAATTTCCTGTGGTTACTGTAACAAATTATCAGAAACTGTCTAAAAACAACAGATATGTATTCTCTTACAACAGATATGTATTTCTGAAGGCCAGAAATCCACAATCAGTATGTGGGCCAAAATCAAGGTGTGGGCTGCGTCCAGCTCCCTCTAGAAACTTTAGAGTAAAATCCTATCCTGGCCTTTTCCAGCTTCTGGTGGTTGCTTGTTGACTTATACTGATTCAGTAAAAGTACCTCGTCAATACTAAAAGTTGCAATACTCTTAGCAATACATTATTTCCTAAGGAAATTACTTTAGGAAAATTACTAAGAAAAAAGATTTCCAAGAAAGCAAAAGCAACACAGTCACTCCCTTTTTTGAGACGAAGTCTCAGTCCGTCGCCCAGGCTAGAGTGCAATGGCGCCATCTCGGCTCACTGCAACCTCTGCCTCCCGGGTTCCGGGTTCAAGCGATTCTCCTGCCTCAGCCTTCCGAGTAGCTGGGACTACAGGCATTCGCCACCACGCCCAGCTAATTTTTGTATTTTTAGTAGAGACAGGGTTTCACCATATTGGCCAGGCTGGTCTCGAACTCCTGACCTTGTGATCCGCCTGCCTTGGCCTCCCAAAGTGCTGGGATTACAGGCGTGAGCCACGGCGCCCGGCCTGCACACCCGCCCCCCTGCTCTTTCTCCTGGTCTCACTTTCCTCTGTTCCTCCGTATTCCCCAAGGTAGGCGCGCCTCTTTTGTCACCTGCTGTGTCAATCTGGGCTCTCTGCCTGGTTCTCTCAGTCCCTCACAACAGCAATAGTTTCCTCTCCACTATCAAGGCTATATTCTCCTACCAGTTCTAGATCTCTGAGAGCAAGATGGCCGAACTTGAGGGAGACCACTTTTTGACAGCTTTAACCTTCAAGGACACAGAGCAAGGGTGCCCTCCTGCTAGGTGCTAATTGGTTCAATGCTTCATCAGCTGCATCTTGGTCCATCAAAGGCATCATTCCAGAGACTGATTTTCTCTCTGGTGTTTGCAATCCTGCACGGTAAACTAGGAGGGTGAAAACAAAACAGAAAAATGGGAGAAATTATTTGAAAGTGACGATATCAACCAGTGAACATCAGGAATCCATTAACCCGTTCAACAAGTATTGACTGAATGCCTACTCTGTGCCTGGGCACTGAGTATTCAGGACGAACGCTGACACCGGCGGTCCTCACCTTCACAGCTAGGAGGAAAGGCCAACTGATTAAGCAATTGCAAGTCATCATCGTGACTGAATTGGTGCTGGGTCACACAGCTCGGGATTGGAACTTAGTGTCGATCTGGAAAGGCCTGCTTGGAGAAATTCACGAATGCACTGAGGAATGGGGTGGGGGTAGGAGGTTGGAGCGAGACAAGACTGGCCAAAAGTCTGAAAAGAAAAAGACAATTTGGGTTTGAACCCGCAACAGAACAAGCCCCACAACCCTTCTCTCTCCGTAGAATCCCTACCTCCCGGAGGGAAGACTGAGAATCCTGAAGGGGTCAGGAATGAGAAGGACAAAGGAGAAAGAAAAGAGTAGGACGGCTTCTCCCACGGATCAATCGCGTAGGTGGTGGTGGTCCCTGACAGCTGCAGCTGCCTGATCACTGCTGGATCTGTGATTCTAAAATTCTGAGCAGTAACGAGCCCAAGCGTGCACCTGAGGAAAGAGTAAGGGCACACAAAGTCAGAACAAAGTATGTATGTATTTGAGCCAGGGCCTCGCTCTGCCACGATCAGAGCTCATTGCGGCCTCGAACTTCTGGGCTCAAGAGATCCTCCCGCCTCAACCTCCGAGCAGCTGGAACTACACGTACACGTGACCGCGCCTAGTTTTTCTTTCTTTTCTTTCTCTTTCTTTTCCTTTCTCTCTCTCTCTCTCTTCCCCCCGCCCACCCCCCCCCCTTTTTGGTAGAAACGGGGGTCTCGCTTTTTTGTCCTGGCTGATCTCGAAATCCGAGGCTTCAAGCGACCCTCCCGCCTCCGCCAGAGGAAGAATGTAAACGGGACAGGAATGTGTCTCTGCTCCCCCGCCCTGGCGAGGGACTTGCTAGTATCCTCTATCCAACTGCTGGCTGAATGTGTTCTCTCTAGGAATCGAGGAGGACTGCCTTTCTCGCTGGTTCTATTTCAGTCCCGATCCCACAGCTTCAGTCCAACCGGTTTGCTTTGTTTGATAGGCTGGGCATGAGAGTGAGATTTGGAGCTATCCTCACAGATTCCTGGAAGTTGAACAGATCTCTGATGAGTCCTCTCTTTAGAACTAAACTGATTCCCCCAGGACCTACCAACTTGAGGAATTTTCTGGGAAGCACTTAGGTACCTGTACGGACTTGTCAACAACTGCCATACGTAAGAGACTCTAATTCCAGCTTTACTGTGCATGACCAGAAAGCTTGAAATTGAAATCTTGATGCCATCCCATAGTTAACCGAGATTTTCCAGGTTTATATATAGTTCAGAATTCAAAGTTCTGAAAATCTAAGAGCTTTCACAACTCTGCGCTTTTGCTTCTCCTGAGACGCTTGTCCTGGAATGCTGGTTTCCATTTTGTTCCCTAATAAAAATCTTGTTCATTCTTCAAAGCCCACTTCAAATAGGGTCTTCCCCACCCCACCTCCAAATCTCCCTCTCTCTCTCACATACACACACCCCATTGTATTTTTCCACACTTCATTTTAGCAGGTAACTCTGTGCCCAATAGAAAATTTACTCACTTGGCGGGGCGCGGTAGCTCACGCCTGTAATCTCAGCACTTTGGGAGGCCGAGGCGGGCGGATCACCAGGTCAGGAGATCGAGACCATCCTGGCTAACACGGTGAAACCCCGTCTCTACTAAAAATACAAAAAATTAGCCGGGCGTGGTGGCGGGCGCCGGTAGGCCCAGCTACCTGGAGGCTGAAACAGGAGAATGGCGTGAACCCAGGATGCAGAGCTTGCAGTGAGCCGAGATGGCGCCACTCCACTCCAGCCTGGGCGACAGAGCGAGACTCTGTCTAAAAAAAAAAAAAAAAAAAAAAAAAAGGAAAACTTACTCACAGTATCTGTCTCCTTCATTCCCCAAGTACGGTGAGAAGAATGATGATGATGATAATATTAATAACACGGATTTGGATAATTGGCTGACTGCTTTTGTGTATTATGTTATTGACTCATCGCAACTTTATATAGTAAATACTGTAATACTTTTATTCCCATTTTACAGTTGAGAAAATTGGGATTTGGGGGGTGTTAAGAGGTGAGATTTCTGTCTTGGTCATTTTTCATTTTCCATAGTGACTAGTGTAGTACAAGCCTACTGGCTCTGAATATTTGCAGATTGATTCCTTGACCCTAGCTGTTGACTTTTTTTTTTTTTTTTTTTTTTTTAGTAGTCTTTCACATTCTCTTTCCTCCTCTTGTCTTGATGCATATTTTGGTTTTGTTATATTTTTTCGACGTTCTCTCTGAGCTGACGAGTAAACGGTAGCAAGTCTGGTGAATAAACAGAACCTACCGTGCCAAAATTAGGGAATTTTTTTTCCTATGGACAATGAATAATAGCTCAGATGAGAAGGAAAGAAACTGGTAGCATTCGAAGAAGAGTTCTTTTTCTCTAATCCAATTAGCTTTATGTGGAAAATGAAAGAAAAGAAAAGAAAAGAAAAAAAGAGGCATTAATCAAGATAAGTTAAGCCAGACAGTTCCTTTCACAGGGGTCCCAACCAGACTGTTTTCTGAAAGCAGAGGCATAAAAACTAATGAAGCAAGAGATTCTTGCTGCACATAGAGGAGACAACGTGTGATATCACGAAAAGAGGGTGCTTTTCAAGAACTGATCACCAGCAGGCCTAGAGGGTTGAATTCCTATGAAACATTAGATTAAAAGGCTTCCGTATATACAGGAATTTTACAAACCATATTACTTTTATGTCTATGTCAAAATAAGATTTCTTAGTCAAATTGATCTTATGTATGTGTCAAAGTTTATTAATTCAAGGACAGAACTGACAAGATGACAAAAGAGTGTCCCATCTCAAGGAAGTTTTGGAAACTGTGAATATATGGAGCCAGGGAAGAGAAGAGAAAGTGCAATTAATTAGAAAAAGTCCTGCTTCATTTAACTGGATCATAACAACATCACATCCTGGCTGGAAGCGGTGGCTCACGCCTGTAATCCCAGCACTTCGGGAGGCTGAGGCGGGTGGGTCTCTTGAGATCAGGAGTTCGAGACCAGCCTGGCCAACATGGTGAAACCGCGTCTCTACTAAAAATACAAAAATTAACCTGGAGTGGTGGCACGTGCCTTTAATCCCAGCTACTCGGGAGGCCGAGACAGGAGAATTGTTTGAACCCGGGAAACGGAGGTTGCAGTGAGCTGAGATCGGGCCACTGCACTCCAGCCTGGGCGACAAAGAGAGACTCCATTTCAAAAAACAAACAAAAAATCACATATTCCATTTGTTGGTGAAATAAGATCAGGAGCACCACGATCTTTGTTTGGAAACTTGTAGAGAAGTCATACGTGCCCCAAACTCTTAGCAGATATAAGAAAGAAATAATAAGCAATAGCTGCTCTTTAGACAGACCAAGAAACAAAGATTCATGCCCCGATATTGTCAGACAGGAACCAGTTAGCACAGGGTCACCAAACCTTGTCAGGAGAGAAACAAAAAGTCTGCTTTTTCTCCAGTAGCTCTCGGTAAATTTACCAAATGTGCATTCAGAGATGGTGCTGAATTCATTGTTTGCCTGTTTCTCAGTTTTGTGACAGCAGGTTTTAATTTCATGTTTATGACCTTCTCCTATCCTCTCTTAGGAAAAAAACATAATTTGTACCTTCATAGGGGAAAAAAGGTTGAAGCGCTGGAGAGATGAAGCAGTCCTGAAACTGCTTTGGCCCAGAATATTAAATTACTGTGTAGGTATTTCTAGGGCTATCCCCTAGCGCCCAGTTGGAGCAGCGTGAAACTTACAGAGAAATCCGAGGAAGATAGAGTAGGTGTCTAAACCACCGAGGCTCTAGCAGCTTCAGAAGCTTGAACACAGCGATCAAATCTCCCAGAAATGACTTCGCCATTTCTTCTCTGTCATCTTCATAACTGTCTTTTCAAAAGGTTATGCTAATCTCAACTAACTCCTAATGGATTGTCTCCGGAATTTCCCGCTTACTGAATCACCCAATTGAGTTAAAAATGTTAAAGCGCTTACTTAGAACAATGCCGGACACTCGGTCTACGCTAGATTAAGTATTCATTAATAAATGTTTTAAAATAATTGAAAATTACATTGCTTGTCATTTTGTACCTGGAATACTAAAACAGGAACAGGGTTTCTATGCAGAAAATGCCTCCTATGAAAATTGAAAGTTAACTTATCCACAATTTGCTGTTTACTCAGAGATTTCGTTCCTGGATGAAAGAATTTGGAGGTTAAAACAGAAAAACCTCATTCCCTGACCGGGAATCGAACCCGGGCCGCGGCGGTGAGAGCGCCGAATCCTAACCACTAGACCACCAGGGAAGCTGAAGTAGGTTTATTAAAACATATTTATGAAGCGAGAACTCAACACATACGCACACAGTTGACTTCTACTTTTCCGACGAGTTAGTGCACGGTCATGCTCTCGTATTCACTGACCTCCTGTTTTGCACCAACCAATAAAATCTGGACGGCAGAGGGCGTGGCAATGCCATAAGAGTAATTTGGGAAGTTCGTAACTGGATGATGGAACGTGCTCTGTTTCGATGTGTGCATTCAACCGAGAATAAATTGTAGCATCAATTTGTAATTGTCTTCTTGCTTTTCTTTGCATAAAGTGGTGAGCCATTTGAAGAACGAAATAATTTTTTAATTTGTCTTTGGTTCCTTCGGAGTACCTGTCATTGTGGGTTTTTTTTTTAATAAATACCTAATAGTAAATAAAAAACATAAGTAATAAATTCATTAAGCCTTATTTTTAAGTGGCGTGGGCGGAGCCGAAATAGCTCAGTTGGGAGAGCGTTAGACTGAAGATCTAAAGGTCCCTGGTTCGATCCCGGGTTTCGGCATGAGAGCGCTCGGTTTTTTGTGCCCACGGCAATACAAATATGGAATTTTCCTTCTACAATACAGAAACACTCCTTAGAACCTAAAATGGGGTCATATTTTTCTCAAATTCATAAAGGAAATCGCAAGAACACTGTGGGATACGTTTATTTCTGTAGCAGAACTCTAGGTATGGGTTTCAACATCTCACTAGATAAAAGAAGAAAAGGCAAACGTGCTGAAAGAAGTTTAATCTTGAGCAATACTAATTACATTTTATTTGCGACCTCTGTTCCCTCAATAAATATTTATTAAGTGAATTGTTAGTGTTATGCGCGCGTCTAACTGAAGAGACAACCTGAACAGGCTAAGTGTGAGCAACAAGCTGTTTATTCACTCTGGTCCGAGCGGGCTGAGTCCGAAAAGGGAGTCCCACCACCGGAGGGTGGTGGGATTGCAGCTAGTTTTATAGGTTAGGAGTAAGCAGTGGAAAGATACAATAAGGGCCCGTTTATTGCGGGCAAGGGAAGAATGTCACAAGGTACATTATCACAAGGTGGGAGGGGTCACAGAGCACAGTGTCACGAAGTTGATTGATCAGTTAGGGTAGAGCATGTTACAATGGTAGAAGGTCGCAAGGTTGGCTAATCAGCTAAGACAGGAGCTGTTTTTCTTCTTTTGTGGTTTTCCTGTTGTCCCAGACTTTCTGGCTCCAGGAGACCTTCTGGATGTGTACGTGTGGGTCACAGGGGTCACAATGCCTTGATCATAGCACAGCCTGCTCCGAGGAAAAGGATAGAGAGAGGCACGGCCGGTGAACTGAAGGGAAGTTTCCTGGAAAAAGGAGCCGCCTAAGCTGTTGAAAAAGTGGCTACTTGCTAGAGGTGGGGGAGGGGAGGGGTGGCTGCTGCGCTGTGAAAGGGAGACAGCCAGCATATTCCCTCAGCCACCTTTTTCCTAACCTCCTAATTTGCTAGCTCTTGGCATATTCAACCCCTGTCTTCCTACTCGGAGGAATGGTCTCTCATTTCCAAGTCTACTTAATATTCCATCTGAGCTTTTGAACCCTCTACCCATTCCATTTTGCTCTATGTTTGTGTCTTTCATCTCTCTCCTCCTTACGTGCCTCTCTTCAAATTACAGAATGTCTAAACCTCTATCTTTGGACAACAAAAATGGAACACATGACCTTATGCATTATCCTCAGACTCTTTCCTTCCACTCAGCACCAAACCTGTTGAAAGAACAATGTTTACCTCATTATTTGCTCATCAGCGGAGGAGGTCTGCCTTCCAATCCCAGGAAACCATTACCATCAACTTTCCAACTTTCAAATGTCTTGGCTGTTTTTGGTCCTATACTTAATTTTGCACAGTATACCAACCTATAAACAATCCTTCCCTTATGAAGCAGTCCTCCTTTGGACTTTGGGATTTTGAAGCAGCCTCGTTGTCTGGGGTGACACCCTAGATTCATCGTCTCACAGCCACAGAGATCAAGGACCTGGACACACAGAGAGGTTAAGAGTGGAAATTTAATAGGCGAAAGAAAGAAAATATCTCTCTGCTACAGAGAGGGGTCCTGGAAAAATGGGTTGCCGAAATTCGGTGAAATGCAGGGGGTTTTACAGATGAGCTAGTGGGGAGATGGTGTCTGATCTACATAAGGCATGAAAAACCCAGATAGGACCAGGTGTGCCAACTGCATAGGGTGTGAATCTCTGGCAACCCTCACCCCAATCTGTTATTATGCAGGTGGGTTCTCTGCCTGAACTTCTCCATGTTGCCCATTTCTTTCTTACTGTACACATGCTAACAAAAAAGGGAAGGTGGAGCCTCATGGTGGACATGCCTCACCCCCAGGTAGACCTTTTCTATCGGTGCAGCTGCCAGCCTTCCCCCATGCAAGTTTCCAGCTTCCTTATCTATGTCTGCAGCTCCATCTTGCAGGCTGCTCTTTGTTAGAAAAGGAATAATTTCTAGGGCTGCTTTTTGTTAGAAGAGAAGTTCTGCCGAGGACTCTTTTGCCCTAACTACCTAAGCAATTTCTTTGTATCTCCTGTATCAACTTGACTCTCCATTATTTTTCTCCATACTCTCTTGCTCTTCCCTTTCAGCTCCCTATCCCTCCAATTTTAATGACTTTGGTCTTTTTTTAAATTAAATGTTTAATTTTTAGGTAGTCGTAGATTCACATGCAGTTATAAGAAATAATATGGAGAGGTCCCATGTCCCCTTTACCTGCTTGCCCCCAATGGTAACATCTTGCAAAACTATAGCACAAAATCACAATCCGGATATTGATATTGATATTGATAAAGTCAAGATGCAAAACATTTCCATCACCACAAGGATTCCTTTTGGCCCTTTTACAGCCACACCCACTTGCCTACTGTTCCTGCCTCAACCTCTGGCAACTAGTAATCTGTTTTTCACTTTTATGATTTCATCATTTCGAGAATGTTATGAAAATGGAATCATACATTATGTAACCTATTAGGATTGGCTTTTTGCACTCAGTGTAATTCTCTAGAGATTCATCTAGGTTGTTCAGCATCAGTAGTTCATTCTTATTTCTCGCTCACTAGCATTCTGTGGTATGAATTTACCAGTTTGAACATTCACCTGCTGAAAGACATTTGAGTCATTTTCAGCTTTTGACTTTTACAAATAAAGCTACCATAAACATTTGCATACTGGTTTTAGTGTTAATATAAATTTTCGTTTAGCCAAGATAAATGTCCAGGAGTGCAGCTGCCGGGTGGTATGGTACTTGCACATTTAGCTTTTTAAGAAACTGCCAACTGTTTTCCAGAACAGCTACATTTCACATTCCCACCTACATGTATACAGCCTCATCAGCATTTGGTTGTTGCCACTATTTTTATTTTAGTCATTCTGATAGATGTATAGTGATATCTCATCTTGGTCGTAATTTGTATTTCCCTAGTGCTAAGGATGTTGAAAACATTTTTATGTGCTCGTTTGCCATCTGTATATCTTCTTCGGTGAAATGTCTCTTTAGGTGTTTTATCCAATCCGATAAGAATAGTTGTGTACAGGTTTTTATGTGGGAAGTTCCTGAAAAAGCTGGAAGTTCAAACCTTTTCCAAATCTCTGTCTTAGATTATGAAGTTCTCATGCCATGCAATTTGTTTTTTAAAAAAATTATTTAGTGATACTTCTGAAAGCAATGTAAGGAAGACTATTCAGGACTATCGGGATAGGCACAAGGGACCATTGCAAGGAGGTTTTGCAGTGAGGGAAAGAGATCGGCCTCAGTTCTGAATATAGCATGGGCAAATGGGAATTTATAGCCAAGGAGCAGTGTGTCCTGGTCAGTGGACAGGAAATTACCAAGAGAAAACCTCAGAGGTAAGGGGAATTCTGGCCAAACAAACCTAACAGGATTCTTGCTGAAGACAGGCCAAGGTAATCAGACATCAATCATCTGGGGGATGGTGGAGAATGAGGAGCCTGATCAGAAATGGAGGTTAAACATAGATGATATGGGGGTTCTTGCTAAACTGACTTGGCAGGGTTCTTTGCTAAAACTGGACGTTACAAGGAAGTGCACAGATGGGCCTAGCAGAAGATTCAGAAGCCTGACTAAAGTTTGGCCAAGCGAATAGTCTTTGTTAAATTCTTATGCAACTGCATTTGCAAAATGCAAAACAGACTACTGTCTTGTTGTTTGGGGAAAGGAAGAGTGCAACATGGAGAAATTTCCAAGATGATAAGTCACTAACGAGTTTCTTCCGGCTCCCACTGACTGAATGAATCATCATTCCCTGAGGGGTAAAAAAAAAAAAAAGGAAGATCGAGCAAAGGGTAGCATATACCAGTCCCACCAGTGAACTCACTTGGTATGCAGAAATAATGCTGTTGATTTTTTAAAAGAAATCCCGAAAAGGGAAGTTAAAAGAGACCGGGTCTCGTCGGATGTCCCGGGCGGAACTGCAGGCGTTGCTCGCAGGCGCGGTCCCACCGTCGCCCAACACGGGGAGTTTGACCTGCTCCGTGTCCGGCCTGGGCCTGGTCCCCCCCTCCTTAGACAACCTGGTACTCCCGGGCTCCCCCGGGAGTACCATGTTGGTGCCAGGCCCGGTGCGGACGCCCGCTCCACACAGCGCCGTAGCTCCGAACCCCCGAGCACCCACGATCCGCCGACCTCAGCCTCCCGGGGAGCTGGGATTACAGGCGCGCGCCACCGCGTCCGGCGCTTGGTTTGGTGGCACCGCGGTCTTGGAGGCTGCAACTGCCGACTGCGTGTGCTGGGAGGCGGGATCCGTGCAGCGGTTTCCTCGCCGCCCAGCCGGCTGCCGCTCCAGATTGCCAGAAGTGCCTGATAGAACTAGCTGAAGAGACCGCAGAAAGCACTGGCAGAGAGATGAATGAGCATCCCTTACTATGTTGTCCTCGGAACCTTTACAAAAAGGTCAATTAAACAAACAGCTGTAAATTTAATAAGGGAAAGAGTGAAGGACTGTGTTGAGTGGGTTTCACAGACTTCAATACGTATATGAAATCACCTGGGGAGCTTGCTAAAATGAAGAGTTCTAACGCTGTAGGTGTAGGATGGGGTGTAGATATTCTGCATTTGTGAGAAACTCCCAGGTTAGGTCAGTGTTGCTGATCAGCAGCCCACGCTGCAAGTGACAAGGTTGTTGATGCTTTTGGACCTGATGGTTCTACAAGTTCTTGTCACATCATTATAATATTAGAACATGAAAAGAAAAGAAAGAAAGAAAGAAAGAGAGAGAAAGAAAGAGAAAGAGAGAGAAAGAAAGAGAGAGAGAAAGAAGAGAGAGAAAGAGAAAGAAAGGAAGAAAGAAAGAAAGGAAAGAAACAGAGAAAGAAAGAAAGGAAAGAAAGAAAACCACAGTTCCAGCCTCACAAGTGACTCTAGACATTTTCTTTCTTGTTTTTTAGCTCTTGTCCTCACGCATACATAATTTTTTCCATGGTGGAAGCCATGACATTTGTACGATTTCATGTTGGGTGCATTTCCACCTTGTGTAAGTGGTAAATATGTACAGATAATTGTTCAATCACTCCTTCTGTCAGCCAACATTAACTGAGACCCTTTTCTGTGCCATATACAGTAGGTCTACCTGGGGAATCTGAGAGTACAAAATGCACTCCTCTAAGGAGCTTATGGCCTGTTAAAGAATAGAAGACGGCCGGGCCTGGTGGCTTACGCCTGTAATCCCAGCACTTTGGGAGGCCGAGGCAGGCAGATCACGAGGTCAGGAGATGGAGACCATCCTGGCTAACATGGTGAAAACCTGTGTCTACTAAAAATACAAAAAATTAGCCGGGCGTGGTGGTGGGCACCTGTAGTCCCAGCTACTCGGGAGGCTGAAGCAGGAGAATGGTGGGAACCCGGGAAGCGGAGCTTCCAGTAAGCCGAGGTCGCGCCACTGCACTCCAGCCTGGGCGACGGAGTGAGGCTCCGTCTCAAAAAAGTAAATAAATAAATAAATAAATAAATAAATAAATTTTAAAAAAGAATAGAGACAAGTAAATCAGTGAGAGTGAAGATTTACTCCTAAGTTCTTCCATAGGTGTAAGGGCAGGGTACTGTGTACAAGATCACCAATACAGGCACCTAATCTGAACAAGAATGGCTTACTGGATGAGGTGCTACCTGAAATATGTCTTAAAGATAAGCTATAATTAGGCACATAAAGAAGGGCATGGAAAAATTTTTACCATCAAGTCCTGACAGAAGCAAAGCTAAAAAGGTATGAATGCCTGGGAAAATTACTAGTTCCTAGTTCAAGTAGACCTGAGCAGAAAATCAAAGGTTCATGGACCAAAGTAAAAAGATGAAGCAGTGGCTGAGGCCTGTAGTCCCAGCACTTTGGGAGGCCAAGGCAGGAGGATTACCTGAGGTCAGGAGTTCAAGACCAGCCTTGGCAACTTGGTGAGACCCCCCGCCACCGACACACACTAAAAATACAAAAATTAGCCAGGTGTGGTGGCACACACCTATAATCCCAGCTACTTGAGAGGCTGAGGCATGAGAATCGCTTGAACCCTGGAGGCAGAGGTTGCAGTGAGCTGAGATTGTGCCACTGCACTCCAGCTTGGGTGACAGAGTGAGACTCCATCTGAAAAAAACAAAAAAAAAGGATAAAGATGAGGCTACAAAGGAAAAAATCGTTACTTTGTGTAGTATACAGTCTCCAAAAACTGACCTCAATGCAGCATATTTTTCGGTCGTTACACCCTTTTGTAGTCCATTCCCACAGTGAATCTTGGCTGACCTAACAAAATTATTTCATTGAGGTGATACTGTGCCAGTTCCAGGGCTAAGCCATGTGAAATCTTGCACCTTCTGACTTGGTTTTCTGGAATGCTAAATCTTGGGATGCTCCCTCTCAGAATCCAGTCACCATGCCATGAGAAACCCAAGCCACATGAAAAGGCCATGGCTAGGCACTGTGGGTCACAGTCTCAACTGACTGAGGTCCTAGCAACATCAACTGCCACTGCCAGTTATGTGAGTGAGCCATCTTGAACATCCCTAGCTCAATCAAGCCTTCAGAGGAATGGAGTCCTTACTGACATCATGTGGAGCAGAATCACCCAGGTAAGCCCAGTCTATTCACAGAATTGTAAGAAATAGTAAAACGGCTGGCATTTCAAGACATGTGTTAGTTTTCTATTGCTGTCATAACACATTACCACAAATGTAGTGGTTATAAAAAACATAAATTTATTATTTAGAGTTTTTTAAGACAGAAGTCTGGTATGGTCTCACTGTGCTAAAATCAAGGTATTGGCAGGCTGCATTCCTTTCTGTTGGCCCCAAGGGAGAATCTGTTTTCTGCTCATTCAGATTATTGGCAAAATTCAGTTGTTTGCAGTTGTTGGATCAAAGTCTCTGTTTTATTGCTGCCTGTAAGCTAATGGCCACTCCCAGCTTCTAAAGGCTGCTGTGTTGCTGGGCTCTTTAAAACCAGCAATGGTGGATGGCGTCCTCAGATCACACCTCCCTGAACTACTCTTCTGCTTCCTCTTTCCACTTTTAAGACTCTAGTGATTAGGATCATCTCTCCATCACAAGTTCCCTAACCTTAATCACATCTCAAAGTCCCTTTGCCATGTAAGTTAACATATTTACAGTTTCCAAGGGTTAGAAGGGGCATATTTTTGGGTGGAAATAGCATTATTCTGTCTATCACTCCATTTGGAATTGTCTCTTGTATATTGGTAGGAAGTAAGAACAAACTGTGAGCCGTATCTTGACAATACTAAATACTTTGAGCTTTCCCTAAAAGGCTATGGAGAGACAGAAAAGTGTTCTGAACAGAGAGGTCAGTATGACGGGTATTTTTGCAAGCTCTTCTTGCCAGTTCTGTGGAAGCAGAGCCACAGCTAGCACACAGAGTGCCTTTGGGCAAATAATGCAACAGTAAGGCTGGGCGCAGTGGCTCAGGCCTCTAATCCCAGCAGTTTGGGAGGCCCAGGTGGGCGGATCACCCAAGGTCGGAAGTTCGAGACCAGCCTGGCCAACATGGTGAAACCCCATCTCTACTAAAAATACATGGTGGCGCATGCCTGTAATCCCAGCTACTCGGGAGGCTGAGGCAGGAGAATGGCTTGAACCCAGGAAGCAGAGACAACGGTGAGCCAAGATCCCACCACTGCACTCCAGCCTGGGAAACACAGTGAGACTCTGTGTCAAAAAAATAATAATAAAATAAAAAAAAAATGCCACAGTAAGCCATTTTGGTGGATGAATTACAGAAAGACAACCCTCAGGGCTGATGAAGCATAGAAAAGGGAAAATGTCAAAAGTCCTCTCTCCAGGACTCTTAGCTCTCAGTGCTCAGGTCATATTTCAGCCCCCATTCACCTTCTCTGGAAATCTTTTTTTGTAGGGCACCAGTGGGACTCCCTGTATAGAGAAACAATGGGAGACAAGCAGGGCTAGAAGCAAATCAACCAAACTGGAGGCTGTTGCAGTAATCCAGGAAAGATACAGAAAGAGGAGAAGGAAGAGGAGGGAAAAAGTCTCATGTAAAACGGTGGTGGTAATCTTGTATTAGAATAAAGGAAACAGACTCAGAAGAACTGAAGACACAGAATTCATAAGATGTGGGAAGTACGGGGCCGGGCGCTGTGCCTCACGCCTGTATGTAATCCCAGCACTTTGGGAGGCCGAGGTGGGCAGATCACAAGGTCGGGAGATTGAGACCATCCTGGCCTACATGCTGAAACCCCGTCCCTGCTAAAAATACAAAAATTAGCTGAGCATGGTGGCCGGCACCTGTAGTCCCGGCTACTCGAGAGACTGAGATAGGAGAATAGCTTGAACCCGGGAGGCGGAGCTTGCAGTGAGCCGAGATCGGGCCACTGCACTCCAGCCTGGGCGACAGAGCGAGAGACTCCATCTCAAAAAAACAAAACAAAACAAAACAAACAAACAAAAACAACTCAGAGCTAGACAAAATTACACTCCCTCAGGCTGAGTGCGGTGGCTCAAGCCTGTAATCCCAGCACTTTGGGAGGCCGAGGTGGGCGGATCACGAGGTCAGGAGATGGAGACCATCCTGGCTAATATGGTGAAATGCCGTCTCTACTAAAAATACAAAAAATTAGCCGGGCGTGGTGGCGGGCGCCTGTAGTCCCAGCTACTCGGGAGGCTGAGGCAGGAGAATGGCATGAACCCGGGAAGCGGAGCTTGCAGTGAGCCGAGATCAGGCCACTGCACTCCAGCCTGGGCGACAGAGCGAGAGACACCGCCTCAAAAAAAACAAAACAAACAAACAAAAAAACAACTCAGAACTAGACAAAATTACACTCCCTTAGGGCGGGTATGGTGGCTCACGCCTGTAATCCCAGCACTTTGGGAGGCCGAGGCAGGCAGATCACGAGGTCAGGAGATCGAGACCATCCTGACTAATATGGTGAAACCCCATCTCTACTAAAAATACAAAAAATTAGCCGGGCATGGTGGCGGGCGCCTGTAGTCCCAGCTACTCGGGAGGCTGAGGCAGGAGAATGGCGTGAACCCGGGAAGCGGAGCTTGCAGTGAGCCGAGATCGCGCCACTGCACTCCAGCCTGGGCAACAGAGCGAGAGACTCCGTCTCAAAAAAAAAAAAAAAAGGTCATAAGATGTGGGAAGTAAAAGAGAGGAAAAGATTGAAAAGGATGCAGATGTGATGATGCTAGTCGCCTGCCATCAGAAGCAGCAAGTCTTCTCCAAGATGATACTTTTCTTCTGAAGACGTGAGATTTGAAAAAATAAGAAAACAAAAGAATAACGAACTTTGAGTCTGATGCCTTAACACAGTATTTCATTCAGATGAAGAAATGCTATTGCATGCTAGCCGGGTGCGGTGGCTCACGCCTGTAATCCCAGCACTTTGGGAGACCGAGGCGGGCGGATCACGAGGTCAGGAGATCAAGACCATCCTGGCTAACACGGTGAAACCTGGTCTCTACTAAAAGTACAAAAAATTAGCCGGGCGTGGTGGTGGGCGCCTGTAGTCCCAGCTACTTGGGAGGCTGAGGCAGGAGAACGGCGTGAACCCGGGAGGCGGAGCTTGCAGTGAGCCGAGATCGCGCCACCGCACTCCAGCCTGGGCGACAGAGCAAGACTCCATCTCAAAAACAAAACAAAACAAAACAAAACAAAGAAATGCTATTGCATGCTAAAATGTTTTGAAGTTACCAGAGTCAGCAAGACTGAATTTGGAGCCCAGTGAAAAGAAGCCTACAAAGCTGATGGGGGTGCTTGATAGTAATCCTCTCCTTAACATGCTCAAAAAGAATTGACTCTGTATTTAGAAATCTCACAAATTGAGGAGGAAAGAGGAAGGAGAATGAGGAGAAAAGGGAAGATTTAAAAAAGGATAAGAAAATAATAGCACAAATATATATATATGTACACATATGTGTGTGTGTGTGTGTATATGTATATATATATATATATTTTTTTTTTTTTTTAGACAGAGTCTTGCTCTGTTGCCCAGGCTGGAGTGCAGTGGGGCGATCTTGGCTCACTTCAACTTCCACCACCTAATTTTTGTATTTTCAGTAGAGACGGAGTCGGGGGTGGGGGGAGGGTCTCACCATTTTGGCCAGGCTGGTCTTGAACGCCTGATCTCAAGTGATCTGCCTGCCTCAGCCTCCCAAAGCGCTGGGATTACAGGTGTCAGCCACTGTGCCCAGCCTAATTTTTTGTGTTTTTAGTAGAGATGGATTTTCACCGCTTTGGCCACTCTGGTCTGGAACTCCTGACGCCGAGTGATCCACCCATCTCAGCCTCCCAAAGTGCTGGGATTACAGGCATGAGCCGTCATGCCCAACCACGAGTATATTTCGACATAAAATCTAAGATAGTCTTTTTGTAGAAAGAAATATGCTCACTTTCCTTAATTTGAGAACTATGATTTCTTCCTGCTTTAAAAATCATGGTTTCAGTAAATGTGCCTGCATTATTCTGTCAAAAGCCAGCTTCTATGACTTCTCACCTTTTCCAGGTATATATGAAACTCGTGAGAAACAAATCTTACTCATGGTGTCTTCCTTCCCTTTCTGTATAGTGGATACACCAAAGAGCTTCCCAAACCTTGTCTAGTAAATGGGTTTCAGGTGTGCAGGGGGACATGCATTCCCTCAGCCATTAGTCTCCCCCAGGTCCTTGACTTTTTCATTTCTAAATATCCCATTCTGTTTTTCAAACTTTTTTAGTGGAACCCATAATAAAAAATATAAGTATAGGTTACAACACAACTCTTATTTATTTGCAATGCACTGGGACATTTTGCATTCCATTCTCTTTCACTAAAATCAAAATTCTACTCATGATCCACTCAATTAACTTCATGTGCCACAAGGGTGTCACAATATACATTTTGAAAAACACACTACCCTTGACCTTGACATTAACCTAAACTGCAGGCACCAAGCCCAAGATGTAAATTTCAATCATCTCTTATACTGATTATCACCTTCTGTTTTTTCAGCTTATTTTCTTTTGCCCAGTGGAAAATTATTTAATGCATCTCCTTTCTCCTTACATCTTTACTTCCCTCTTTACACAACTTAAATTTCATGATTAATTATCAGCATTAGTAGCTTACAAAACCTTTGTCTCACTCACAATCATTGGTCATGTAATCACCAGACAGGTTCTTCCTGCCCCCACCCTGCACAGACAAAATCATTTCACTGAGACTGTGGTATTGCGTTTAAGAGTTTAATTGGTCGTCAGCAAAGCCTGAGTCCTGTCCTCTCGCTCTCCTCCCCGGACAGCAAGAGCTTCACCACTCGCTCCACCTTCTCCACCAACTACCGGTCCCTGGGCTCTGTCCAGGCGCCCAGCTACGGTTCCCAGCCAGTCTGCAGCGCGGCCAGCGTCTATGCAGGCGCCGGGGGCTCTGGTTCCCGGATCTCCGCGTCCCCCTCCACCAGCTTCTGGGGCGGCATGGGGTCTGGAGGCCTGGCGGCAGGGATGGCTGGGGTTCTGGCAGGAATGGGAGGCATCCAGAACGAGAAGGAGACCATGCAAAGCCTGAAGGACCGCCTGGCCTCCTACCTGGACAGAGTGAGAAGCATGGAGACCAAGAACCGGAAGCTGGAGAGCAAAATCCGGGAGCACCTGGAGAAGAAGGGACGCCAGGTCGGAGACTGGACAAATTACTTCAAGACCATGGAGGACCTGGGGGCTCAGATCAAATACTGTGGACAATGCCCGCATCGTTCTGCAGATTGACAATGCCCGACTTGCTGCTGTTGACTTCAGAGTCGAGTGTGAGACAGAGCTGGCCATGCGCTAGTCTGTGGAGAGCGACATCCATGGGTTCCGCAAGGTCATTGATGATACCAATGTCACTCGGCTGCAGCTGGAGACAGAGATCGAGGCTCTCAAGGAGGAGCTGCTCTTCCTGAAGAAGAACCAAGAAGAGGAAGTAAAAGGCCTACAAGCCCAGATTGCCATCTCTGGGTTGACCGTGGAGGTAGATGTCCCCAAATCTCAGGACCTCGCCAAGATCATGGCAGACATCTGGGCCCAATAAGACGAGCTGTCTTGGAAGAACCGAGAGGAGCTAGACAAGCACTGGCCTCAGCAGATTGAGAGTGCACCACAGTGGTCACCATGCAGTCCATCGGTGTTGGAGCTGCTGAGATGACGCTCACGGAGCAGAGATATACAGTCCAGTCCTTGGAGATCGACCTGGACTCCATGAGAAATCTGAAGGCCAGCTTGGAGAACAGCTTGAGGGAGGTGGAGGCCCGCTATGTCCTGCAGATGGAGCAGCTCAGCGGAATCCTGCTGCACCTGGAGTCAGAGCTGACACAGACCGGGGCAGACGGATAGCGCCAGGCCCAGGAGTGCGAGGCCCTGCTGAACATCAAGGTAAAGCTGGAGGCTGAGATCGCCACCTACCGCCGCCTGCTGGAAGATGGCGAGGACTTCAGCCTTCGTGATGCCCTGGACAGCAGCAACTCCATGCAAACCATCCGAAAGACCACCACCCGCCCGATAGTGAGTGGATGGCAAAGTGGTGTCTGAGACCAAGGACACCAAAGTTCTGAGACATCAAGTTGGCAAAAGCAGGGTACCCTCTGGGGCGCAGGAGACCAATAGGAAGTTCGGAGGTAAAAAACAAACAAACAAACAAACAAAAAAACCAGTTTAATTAACACAAGGCCAGCCACGTGGAAGATGGAGTTATTGCTTAAATCAGTCTTCCTGAAGGTTTAGAAGTTAGGGTTTTTCAAGGATAGTTTGGTGGGCAGGGAACAAAGGAATGAGTGCTGCTGATTGGTTGGGGATGCAATCACAGGGGTGTGGAAAACGGTCCTCATGTGCTGAGTTCACCTCTCGTGGAGGGTTGGAGGGAGGTATAGGATCAGTTGAGTTGTGAGTCCCAAATCCAGGTGGGGTCAGTCGGTTGGTAGAATACAAAAGTCTGAAAAGCATCTTTAAGACCAATCTTAGGATCTATATAGTGATGTTATCTATAGGAACAACTGGAGAAGTCACAGATCATGTGACCTCTGACCACATGACTCCTGAGCCGTAAGGGATTATAGAAACTATACCTACATTTTAGCAGAATTCAGGCCCCTTTCAGAATCCTAATTTTATGGTCTTTCATTTGTCTTACAAAGGCAGTTTTAGCACCCCAAACAAGGAGGGATATTATCATCTTTGCTTCCAACTTAAACTATAAACTAAATTCCTCCAATGGTTAGCTTGGCCTACACCTAAGAATGAGTGAGGATGATCAGCCTGTGAAGGTAGAAAGAAGCAAGATGGAGTGAGCCATGTTAGATTTCTCTCACTGTGATAATCTTTGCAAAGGCGTATCTGAATATGAATAGGTGAATGAATAGAGAATACTCCTAACTGCGCTCCTTTCTTTGTCACACTCTAAACCAAGGTTTCCTCCCCTCCATTCCACTGAAACTTCCTTGTCAAATCCCAGCAACCTCCATCTTGCTAGATCCAATGGTTAGTTTTCTTTTTCATAATTAACTAATTTATTTATTTATGAATTTTTCCATAAGTTATTGGGGAACAGGTGGCGTTTGGTTACACGAGTAAGTTCTTTAGTGGTGATTTGTGAGATTTTGGTGCACCCATCACCCGAGAAGTATACACTGCACCCTATTTGTAGTATTTTATTCCTCACTCTCCTCCCACCCTTCCCCCAAAGTCCATTGTATCATTCTTATGCCTTTGCATCCTCATAGCTTATTGGTGAGAACATATCATGTTTCGTTTTCCATTCCTAAATTACTTCACTTAAAATAATAGTCTCCAAGGTCAGGCACAGTGGCCCACACCTGTAATCCCAGCACTTTGGGAGACCGAGGCAGGCAGATCACCTGAGGTCAGCAGTTCAAACCCAGCTTGGCCAACAAGGTGAAACCCTGTATCTACTAAAATACAAAAATTAGCCATTCATAGTGTTAGGCGCCTGTAATTCCAGCTACTTGGGAGGCTGAGGCAGGAGAATCACTTGAACCCAGGAGGCAGAGGTTGCAGCAAGCCGAGATCATGCCACTGCACTTGAGCCTGGGGACAGAGACAGACTCCGTCTCAAAAAAAAAAAAAAAAAAAAAAAAAAAAGAAGAATAGTCTCCAATCCCATTCAGGTCATTGCAAATGCCATTAATTCATTCCTTTTTATTGCTAAGTAGTATTCCATTGTATATATATACCACAGTTTCTTTATCCACTCATTGATTGACAGGCATTTGAGTTGGCTCCACAATTTTGCAATTGTGAATTGTGCTGCTATAAACATGCATGTTCAAGTATCTTTTTTGTTTAATGACTTTTTTTCCTCTAGGTAGATACCCAGTAGTGGGATTACTGGATCAAAGGGTAGCTCTACTTTAGTTCTTTAAGAAATCTCCCCCACTGTTTTCCACAGTGGTTGTACTAGTTTACATTCCCACCAGCAGTGTAGAAGTGTTCCCTGATCACCGCATCCACACCAACATCTACTGTTTTTTGATTTTTTTGATTATGGTCATTATTGCAGGAGTAAGGTGGTATCACATTGTAGTTTTGATGTGCATTTCCCTGATCATTAGTGGTGTTGAGCATTTTTTATATGTTTGCTGGCCATTTGGATATCTTCTTTTGAGAATTGTCTATTCCTGTCCTTAGCCCACTTTTTGATGGGATTGTTTGTTTCTTTTCCCTACTGATTTGTTTGAGTTCATTGTAGATTATGGATATTAGTCTTTTGTCAGATGTATAGATTGTGAAGATTTTCTCCCACTCTGTGAGTTGTCTGTTTACTCTGCTGACTGTCCTTTGGCTGTGAAAAAGCTCTTTAGTTTAATTAAGTCCCAACTATTTATCTTTGTTTTTATTGCATTTGTTTTTGGGTTCTTAGGCATGAAATCCTTGCCTAAGCCAATGTCTAGAAGGGTTTTTCCAATGTTATCTTCCAGAATTTTTATAGTTTCAGGTCTTAGATTTAAGTCCTTAATCCATCTTGAGTTGATTTTTGTATAAGGTGAGAGATGAGGATCCAGTTTCATTCTCCTACATGTGACTAGCCAATTATCCCAGCACATTTGTTGAAAAGAGTGTCCTTTCCCCATATTATGTTTTTGTTTGCTTTGTGGAAGATCAGTTGGCTGTAAGTATTTGGGTTTATTTCTGGGATCTCTACTGTTCCATTGGTCTATGTGCCTATTTTTATACCTGTACCATGCTGTTTTGGTGACTATGGCCTTATAGTATAGTTTGAAATCAGATAATGTGATGCCTCCAGATTTGTTCTTTTTGCTTAGTCTTGCTTTGGCTATGTGGGCTCTTTTTCCATTCCATATGAATTTTAGGATTTTTTTTTCTAATTCTGTGAAGAATGATGGTGATATTTTGATGGGAATTGTATTGAATTTATAGATTGCTTTTGGCAGTTTGATCATTTTCACAATATTGATTCTACCCATGAGCAAGGGTTGTGTTTCCATTTGTTTGTGTTGTCTATGATTTCTTTCAGCAGTGTTTTGTAGTTTTACTTGTAGAGGTCTTTCTCCTCCTTGGTTAGGTATATTTCTAAGTATTTTAATTGTTTTTGCAGCTATTGTAAACGGGGTTGAGTTCTTGATTTGATTCTCCACTTGGTTGCTGTTGCTGTATAGAAGAGCTACTGATTTGCGTACATTAATTTTATATCCAGAAACTACTGAATTCTTTTATCCATTCTAGGAGCTTTCTGGAGGAGTCTTTAGGGTGTTCAAGGTAAACAATCATATCATCAACAAATAGTGACAGTTTGAGTTCCTCTTTACTGATTTGGATGCCCTTCCTTTCTCTTATCTGATTGCTCTGGCTAGGACTTTCAGTACTATGTTGAAGAGGAGTGGTGACAGTGGGTATCCTTGTTTTGTTTCAGTTCTCAGAGGGAATGCTTTCAACTTTTCCCCATTCAGATTATGTTGCATGTAGGTTTGTCATAGATGGCTTTTATTACGTTGAGGTATGTCCCTTGTATCCCGATTTTGCTAAGAATTTTAATCATAAAAGGATGCTTGATATTGTTGAATGCTTTTTCTGCATCTATTGAGATGATTGTGTAATTTTTGTTTTTAACCCTGTTTATGTGGTGTATCACATTTATTGCACACATACTTGTGTATGTTAAACCATCCCTGCATCCTGGTATGAAACCCACTTGATCAATGTGGATTATCTTTTTGATATGTTGTTGGATTCGGTTAGCTAGTATTTTGTTAAGGATTTGAGCATCTATGTTCATCAGGGATATTGGTCTGTAGTTTTCTTTTTTGGTTATGTCCTTTCCTGGTTTTGGTATTAGGGTGATACCGGCTTCATAGAATGAATTAGGGAGGGTTCCCTCATCCTCTATCTTGTGGAATAGCGTCAATAGGATTGGTACCAATTCTTCTTTGAATGTCTGGTAGAATTCTGCTGTGAATCCATCTGGTACTGAACTTCTTTTGTTGATAATGTTTTTTGTTTGTTTGTCTTTTTTAGACGGAGTCTCGCTCGGTCACCCAGGCTGGAGTGCAGTGGCATGATCTCGGCTCACTGCAGCCTCGCCTCCTGGATAATTGGGATTCTTCTGCCTCAGACTCCCAGGTAATTGGGATTACAGGGGCCCGCCACCACCACCGGCTAATTTTGTATTTTTAGTAAAGACAGAGTTTCACCATATTGGCCAGGCTGGTCTCCAACTCCTGACCTCAGGTGATCCACCCGCCTTGGCCTCCCAAAGAGATTGCAGGCATGGGTCACCATGCCTGACCTGGTAATTTTTTTTTTGTTTTTTTTTTTTTTGAGACGGAGTCTCACTCTTGTTGCCCAAGCTGGAGTGCAATGGTGTGACCTCGGCTTACTACACCTTTGCCTCCTGGGTTCAAGCGATTATGTTGCCTCAGCCTCCCAAGTAGCTGGGATTACAGGTACCCACCACCACACCCAGCTAATTTTTTGTATTTTTAGTAGAGATGGGGTTTCCCCATGTTAGCCAGGCTGGTCTCGAACTCCTGATGTCAGGTGATCCACTCACCTCAGCCTCTCAAAATTCTGGGATTACAGGCATAAGCCACCATGCCCAGCTTGGCCTGGTAATTTTGTAGTTATCATTTTAATCTCGCTGCTTGTTATTTGTCTGTTCAGTGTATCTGATTCTTCCTGATTTAAGCTAGGAGGGTTGCATCTTTCTAAGAATTTATCCATCTCTTCCAGGTTTTCTAGTTTATGTGTATAGAGGTATTCATAGCAGCCTTGAATGATCTTTTGTATTTCTGTGGTGTCAGCTGTAATATCTCCCATTTCATTTTTTATTGAAGTTATTTGGATTTTCTCTCTTCTTTTCTTGGTTAATCTTGCTAAAGGTCTATCAATTTTATCTTTTCAAAGAACCAGATTTTTGTTTTATTTATCTTTTGTATTTTTTTGTTTGTTTGTTTCAATTTCATTTAGTTCTGCTGTGATCTTGGTCATTTCCTTTCTTCTGCTGTGTTTGGGTTTGGTTTGTTCTTGTTTCTCCAGTTCCTTGAGATGTGACCTTAGGTTGTCAGTTTGTGTTCTTTCAGTCTTCTTGATGTAGGTGTTTAGGGCTATGAACTTTCCTCTTAGCACTGCCTTTGCTGTTTCCCAGAGGTTTTAATAGGTTGTCACTATTGTCGTTCAGTTCAAGGAATTTTTTAATTTCCATCTTGATTTCATTTTTGACCTAATGTTCATTCAGGAGCAGCTTATTTAATTTCTATGTATTTGCATGGTTTTGAAGGTTCCTTTTGGAGTTGATTTCCAGTTTTATTCCACTGTAGTCTGAGAGAGTGCTTCATATAATTTGAATTTTCTTAAATTTATTGAGCCTCATTTTGTGGCCTATCATATGGTCTATCTTGGAGAAAGTTTCATGTGCTGTTGAATAGAATGTGTATTCTGCAGTTGTTGAATGGAATGTTTTGTATATATCTGTTAAGTCCATTTGTTCCAAGGTATAGTTTAAATCCATTGTTTCTTTGCTGACTTTCTGTCTTGATGACCTGTCTAGTACTGTCAGTGGAGTATTGAAGTCCCTCGCTATTATTGTGTTGCCATCTATCTCATTTGTTAGGGCTATTAAGTAATTGTTTTATAAATTTGGGAGCTTCAATCATAGGTGCACACATGTTTAGGATTGTGATATTTTCTTGTTAGACAAGGCCTTTTACCATTATATAATGTCTCTCTTTGTCTTTTTTAACTGCTGTTGCTTTAAAGTTTGTTTTGTCTGATATAAGAATAGCTACGCCTGCTCAATTTTATTGTCCGTTTGAATGAAATGCCGTTTTCCTCCGCTTTTTTTTTTTTCTTTTTGAGACGGAGTATTGCACTGTCGCCCAGGCTGGAGTGCAGTGGCGCCATCTCGGCTCACTGCAAGCCCTGCCTCCTGGGTTCACGCCATTCTCCTGCCTCAGCCTCCCGAGTAGCTGGGACTACAGGTGCCCGCCACCACACCTGGCTAATTTTTTGTATTTTTAGTAGAGACGGGGGTCTCACCGTGTTAGCCAGGATGGTCTCGATCTCCTGACCTGGTGATCCACCCGCCTCGGCCTCCCAAAGTGCTGGGATTACAGGTGTGAGCCACCGCGACTGGCCAAGATTTAGAGAACCTTTTATCAGTTCTTGTAGTGGTGGCTTGGTAGTGGCAAATTCTCTCAGCATTGGTTTGTCTGAAAAAGACTATCTTTCTTTCATATAAGATGCTTAGTTTTGCAGGATAAAAAATTCTTGGCTGATAATTGTTTTGTTTGAGGAGGCTGAATGTTGGGCCCCAATCCCTTCTAGCTTGTAAGGTTTCTGCTGAGAAATCTGTTGTTAATCTGAAGGTTTTCCTTTATAGGTTACCTGGTGGTTTTGTCTCACAACTCTGAAGATTCTTTCCTTTGCCTTAACTTTAGATAACTTGATGACAATGTGCCTAGGCAATGATCTTTTTTGTGATGAATTTTCCAGGTGTTTTTTGTGCTTCTTGTGTTTGGATGTCTAGGCCTCTAGCAAGACCAGGGAAGTTTTCCTCGATTATTCCCCCAAATACGTTTTCAAAACTTTTAGATTTCTCTTTTTACTCCGGAACGCCAATTATTCTTAGGTTTGGTCATTACATAATCCCAGACTTCTTGGAGGCTTTGTTCATATTTTCTTTTTCTTTTTTCTTTGTGTTTGTTGGATTGGTTTAATTCAAAGACCTTGCCTTCAAGCTCTGAATTTCCTTATTCTACTTGTTCAATTCTATTGGTGAGACTTTCCAGAGCATTTTGCATTTCTATATATGTGTCCAATGTTTCCTGAAGTTTTGATTGTTTTTTATTTATGCTATCTGCTTCATTGAATATTTCTCCCTTCACTTTTTTTTTTTTCGAGACGAAGTCTCACTGTGTTGCTCAGGCTGGAGTGCAGTGACATGATCTCAGCTCATTGCAACCTCCGCCTCCCAGGTTCAAGTGATTCTCCTGCCTCAACCTCCCAAGTAGCTGGCATTACAGGTGCACGCCACCACACCCAGGTAATTTTTGTATTTTTAGTAAAGATGGAGTTTCACCATGTTGGCCAGGCTGACCTCAAACTCCTGACCTCAAATGATCTGCCCACCTCAGCCTCCCAGGGATTACAGGTATGAACCACTGCACCTGGTCTCTCCCTTCACTTCTTGTATCATTTTTTGGATTTCTTTGTGTTGGGCTTCACCTTTCTCTGGTGCCTCTCTGATTAGCTTAGTAACTAACCTCCTGAATCCTTTTTCAGGTAAATCAGGGATTTCTTCTTGGTTTGGATCCATTACTAGTGAGCTAGTGTGATTTTTGGGGGTTGTTAAAGAGCCTTGTTTTGTCATATTACCAGAGTTGGTTTTCTGGTTCCTTCTCATTTGGGTAGGCTCTGTCAGAGGGAGGGTCTAAGGCTAAAACTGTTGTTCAGATTCTTTTGTCCCACAGGGTGTTGCCTTGATGTAGTACTCTCCCCATTTTCCTATGGATGTGGCTTCCTGAGGGTCAAGCTGTAATGATTGTTATCTCTCTTCTGGATCTAGCCACCCAGCAAGTCTACCAGGCTGTGAGCTGGTACTGGGGGTTGTCTTCACGGAGTCCTGTGATGTGAACCATCTATGGGTCTCTCAGCCTTGGATACCAGCATCTGTTCCAGTGGAGGTGGCAGGGTGTGAAATGGACTCCGTGACGGTTCTTAGCTTTGGTGGTTTAATGCTCTATTTTTGTGCTGGTTGGCCTCCTGTTGGTAGGTGGCACTTTCCAGAGAACATCAACTGTGGTAGTATGGAGATGAACCAGCGGTAGGCAGGGCCCTAGAACTCCCAAGGGTATATGCCCTTTGTGTTCAGTTATCAGGGTGGGTAAAGAAGGACCATCAGGTGAGGGCAGGGCTAGGCGTGTCTGAGTTCAGACTCTCCTTGGGTGGGTCTTGCTGCGGTTGCTGTGGAGGAGGGGAGGTTCCCAGGTCAATGGAGTTATGTACCTAGAAGGATTTTGGCTGCCTCTGCTGAGTCATGTAGGTTGTCAGGGAAGTGGGGGAGAGCCAGCAGTCACAGGCTTCACCCAGCTCCCATGCAATCTGAAGGGCCAGTCTCACTCCCACTGTGCCTCCCCTAACAGCACCAAATCTGTTTCCAGGCAGTGGGCAAGAAGAGTTGAGAATTTGCCCCAGGCTACCCGCCTCCCAGCTGTGAAAGAAAGTAGGGTTTTAGTTCTTCCCCTACCTGTGGAGTCTGCATGCTGGATTCATGCCCTCCCCCAAGTTCTGGCCATGAGGTTTCTTGACTAGTTCAAATTGTTACAAAGCTCAGCTGGAGGTTTCCTTCTTCCTGTGCCATTTTCCCTGTGCCTCTGGCTGCCCTCCCAAAGGATCCCTGTGATGCCAGCAGGAGTGGCCTACTTGGGGACCCAGCAAGCTCACAGGGCCTGTCCAATTGATTCCTCTACCCCTGTATTTCCCTTGGCTCTCTAAATTGACTCAGCTCCAGATAAATTCAGAATCTTCTCCCGTAAAGTAGACCTTCAGTTTCCCCAGTGGGGGTGTGTGCTCGGGGGCGGAGGATCTCCCTTTCTCACTTCCACAGTTTGGGCACTCACAGTATTTGAGGTGTCTCCCAGGTCCTACAGGAGCAATCTGCTTCCTTCAGAGGGTCCGTGGGTCCTCTCGGGTTTCCGGATTTATTCCTGAAGTCGTTCTGGAGTTAAAATTCATGATGAGGGCCTCCACACGCTGCTCCGTCCATTGAAGTAAGAGGTGCAATCTAGTCCTGTCTCCCGTCTGCCATAATGTTCCCAATGCTCTCCCAATGTTCAATTTTCAGGCTTCAATTTGCTCAGCCTCTCAATGTCATTTGGCCCAGTTGATATTCCCCCTTCATGAAAACACATTCCGACCAGGCGCAGTGGCTCACGCCTGTAATCCCAGCTCTTTGGGAGGCCGAAGCAGGTGGATCACGAGGTCAGGAGATCGAGTCCATCCTGGCTAACACGGTGAAACCCCGTCTCTACTAAAAATACAAAAAAATTAGCCAGGTGTGGTGGCGGGCGCCTGTAGTCCCAGCTACTTGGGAGGCTGAGGCAGGAGAATGGCGTGAACCCGGGAGGCGGAGCTTGCAGTGAGCCAAGATGGCTCCACTGCACTCCAGCCTGGGCAACAGAGCAAGACTCCATCTCAAAATAAATAAATAAATAAATAAATAATAAAAATAAATTTAAAAAAAAACAACATGTTCCTCATTAGACCCCTGAGGGTCTTCTTTCACAAATATTAAATCCTTGAATGTTAATGAAAGACCTCAAGTATACCAGCCTCAAGTTTATGAGATGACCTCTTTTAATCTTTTTTCACAGCAGAAAGGAAATAATAACTTCCTTCAGTGTTGCTAAAATTGTTTTATTATTCAGGCAGAAGCAGTTTCATGACCCAAAGAATAAGTATCTGAAAAGAAGGAAAAGCCATTGGCAATCATCCTGTTACCTCCAATCACCTATAAACCATTATTATCTATCAAACCATCCATTTTTATCTGTTAAGCCAGACGTTGTCCTTGAAGCTCACTGAGACCTCTTAATTCTTTATTCTTTTCATAAATAGTGTTTCCCCAAACTGGTGAACCAGTTGCTGTTGCTGTTCAACTTTTTAGGGAGCCAACTGAGACATAGCCATACCAAACCTTTCCACCCCCACAAAAAAAAAATCCAACAATTATATAATAAATGCATGTATTACTTTGACATCAAATTTTAAAAATAGATGTTTGAAATTATATATTATTCTGCAATATTTGTTTCTCCATTGCAAAACTGTTATTACTTAAACAAAACAATAATGGTGTGTCCAGAATTGGTAGGTTCTTGGTCTCACTGACTTCAAGAATGAAGCCACGGACCCTCACGGTGAGCATTACAGCTCTTAAGGTGGTGGGTCTGGAGTCTGCCCCTTCTGATGTTCAGATGTGTTCGGAGTTTCTTTCTTCTGGTGGGTTCGTGGTCTCACTGGCTCAGGAGTGAAGCTGCAGACTTTCATAGTGAGTGTTACATCTCTTAAGGTAGCGCATCTGGAGTTGTTTGTTTTTCCCAGTAGGCTCGTGGTTTTGCTGGGCTCAGGAATGAAACTGCAGATCTTCACGGTGAGTCTTACAGCTCACAAAAGCAGCATGGACCCAAAGAGTGACCAGTTGCAAGATTTATTGCAAAAAGCGAAAGAACAAAGCTTCCACAATGTGGAAAGGAACCCGAGAGGATTGCCAATGCTGGCTCGGGCAGCCTGCTTTTATTCTCCTATCTGGCCCCATCCACATCCTGCTGATTGGTAGAGCCCAGTGGCCTGTTTTGTCAGGGCGCTGATTGGTGCGTTTACAATCCCTGAGCTAGATACAAAGGTTCTCCACCTCCCCAACAGATTAGTTAGATACAGAGTTTTGACACACAGGTTCTCCAAGGCCCCACCAGAGCAGCCAGAGTGTCGATTGGTGCACTCACAAACCTTGAGCTAAACACAGGGTGCTGATTGGTGTGTTTACAAATCTTGAGCTAGATACAGAGTGCCGATTGGTGTATTTACAATCTCTGAGCTAGACATAAAGGTTCTCCACATCCTCACCAGAGCAGCTAGATACAGAGTGTCGATTGGTGCACTCATAAACCTTGAGCTAAACACAGGGTGCTGATTGGTGTGTTTACAAACCTTGAGCTGGATACAGAGTGCCGATTGGTGTATTTACAATCCCTGAGCTAGACATAAAGGTTCTCCACGTCCTCACCAGAGCAGCTAGATACAGAGTGTCGATTGGTGCACTCACAAACCTTGAGCTAAACACAGGGTGCTGATTGGTGTATTTACAATCCTGAGCTACATATAAAGACTCTCCACATCCCCACCAGACTCAGGAGCCCAGCTGGGTTCACTTAGAGGATCCTGCACCGGGGCTGTAGGTGGAGCTGGCTACCAGTCCTGCGCCCTGTGCTCGCATTTCTCAGCCCTTGGGTGGTCCATGGGACTGGGCACCATGGAGTAGGGGGTGGTGCTCGTCCGGGAGGCTCGGGCCGCACAGGAGCCCATGGAGTGGATGGGAGGCTCAGGCATGGTGGGCTGCAGGTCCCGAGCCCTGCCCCGTGGGAAGGCAGCTAAGGCCCAGCGAGAAATCGAGCACAGCACTGGTGGGCTGGCACTGCTGGGGACCCAGTACACCCTCCGCAGCCACTGGCCCAGGTGCTAAGTTCCCTATTGCCCGGGGCCAGCAGGGCTGGCTGGCTGCTCCGAGTGCGGGGCCCACCAAGCCCACGCCCACCCGGAACTCCAGCTGGCCGGCAAGCGCCGCACACAGCCCCGGTTCCCGCTCGTGCCTCTCCGTCCACACCTCCCTGCAAGCTGAGGAAGTGGACCCCAGCCTTGGCCAGCCCAGAAAGGGGCTCCCACAGTGCAGTGGGGGGGCTGAAGGGCTCCTCAAATGCCACCAAAGTGGGAGCCCAGGCAGGGGAGGTGCCGAGAGCAAGCGAGGGCTCTGAGGACTGCCAGCATGCTGTCACCTCTCAATAGGAGTAGTTAATAATGGCAATTAGAAGTAATTTATAATAGGACTAATTACATAAATAATATGTTTGGGAAAAATATAACAATATGTTTTTAGTATTTCTATCTGTTCTCTTATGTAGTGATTTATTTTAACTTTTTAAAACTATTGGATATTTAAGTCTCATAGGCTATATTATTTCAACTTTAAGGCGCATTAATAAATGAAAAACATAAATACAAAAACGTAAAATACAACAAGAATGTAAAAGAAGAACATAACTACAATAAAACTACTTAAGCAGATATTACCTATATTTAATAAAAAATAATGACATTTCTTTCTGTCGCATGAAACAATCGAGTATCTTTACCCTTTCTGTTTCTTTTTCCAATATTCTTTCTGTGACCTGTCTGCAACATTTAAGACATCTTTATTTTCTTTTATATAGTGGTAATACTGAATACAGTCAAAGGTAAAATTCACTTTGAATTGCAGCTCTGCTCTTATCAAGCCCATATTACTTAGATTCCTGGTATCATTCTAGTGTGATAAAATCACACTAAATATCCTCTCAACAAAAGCATTTGAGCATTGAATACTCGGTATTTTACTTACTAGCAATAGCAGACTGTTGCAGCGAGCTGAGATCGCACCACAGCACTCCAGCCTGGGCAACAGAGGGAGACTCCATCTCAAAAAAATTAATAAATAAAATGAAATAAATAAATGATAAATTTGGGAAACAAAGCTTGGATTCCAAATAAATTGTATTTTTAGCAAGAGATTGATAAAGTCCTATTTAACTTGCATTCTGAAGCAGTCTTTTTTTTTTAAAAAAAGAATCTTTTCTTAGTGTATGAATCTTTATGTCACAATCTACATAACATAACATTGTTAAAATTAATGGGAGGCTATTGTTTTGGAATGAACTCCTGCATTAGGCTCCAACAGACCAGACCAAACCAGAAGGGAGCCCTTTGTGCAGGGTGCCAAGTAATCAAACTGAAATTTAAAACAGGCCAGTTTTCCAAAAAACAGGAGATTCACAATAACCAGTAGAAAAGGGTCCAGACTACCTCAGCCAGCATGTTAAGGAAGTATCCTCTGCTTTAACCTTACAAGGACAGTCACTTTGTAATTACCAATCCACCTATTGTTCCTTGTTTGTAGTTTCTTCAGCCTTTTCTACCTATAACCTCATCTCCTCGTCAGAGCACCTTCCTATTTTGTAGATGAGATGCTGCCTGATTCATGAATTGCCAATAAAAGTTGATCTGATCTTTAACCTAAGTGTGTTGAAATTTTGTTCTTCGACAACGTCAAACAAATGAAAGTATAAATTTCTGTTTTACGGTAGTTCTTTTCTCCATTCTCACTCTTAAAATATTGTCAAATTAGAGAATAGCATTCCTCTTGTCCCACATTTTGAAAATATGATTTTACACCAAGTAAACATTTTAACATCTATCCTATGGCCAGCAATAATTATAGTCAACTTTAGACATTTCTAAGGAGGCTACCTCCTTTCGTTTCTATAAAGTGAAAATTCTTATTGTTTCTGCACATTTTGAGGAAACTAAAAAGTGACCATAAATCTCATTAAGCCATGAAAGCCTCAATATCACCAGTAAACAAATCACAATCCTTCTTAGCAGTGTTGTTTGTTTTGTTTTGTTTTGTTTGAGACGGAGTTTCGCTCTTGTTGCCCAAGCTGGAGTGCAATGGTACGATCTCGGCTCACTGCAACCTCTGCCTCTGGGGTTCAAGTGATTCTCCTGCCTCAGCCTCCCGAGTAGCTGGGATTACAGGCATGTGCCACCACACCCCGTTGATTTTTTGTATTTTTAGTAGAAACGGGGTTTCACCATGTTAGCCAGGCTGGTCTCAAACTCCTGACCTCAGGTGATCCACCAGCTTTGGCCTCCTAAAGTGCTGGGATTACAGGCGTGAGCCATCACGCCCGGCCTCTTAGCAGTGTTGTGAACAACATGTGCAGAACACGTCACATGTAAGATCTTTTCATTTTCTTTGGTAGAAAGTTTATAGTCTGAATGGAATTTGCCAAAATTTACATTTGCACTGTCTGCCAAATATGCAGATAGATGAGCAAGATCTAACTTGTAGTTGACCAACATATCAATGATTGTTTATGCTTCAAGTGGTTTCATTAAGTCTTCATGCATACCAGGAAAGATGATTTTCAACATCATGTTTCAAATCAAAGTATGTAAGAGCTAAGGGAAACTTTTTTTTTAATGGTTGAGGTGGATTTGACACATCATTATGTTGTAGAGAGCAAGGTCGTCTGATAGAATCAGCTGTACACTGCAAGAGACCAATATGTGGTATCAGAATTTCCTCTTGTTCACCCACGAGATGCAACCTCTGAATCAGGAAATAGAGTAATTAAGGAAGCCATAAAATAATGCGTGTTCTTTTCTAATATTCTGCCCAATACCATTTTCTTTTATTTAATTTTAACTTTTTTTAAGGTCTCCTTGTAAGCAAGCCCAATGCTATTCTCTACAGAGCGCTGGTGTCACTTTTGGGAGACAAAAACACTTTTGATTGGTTCAGAAGTTCTTGCCTGTCTCATCCCAGACTTGAGAGATGCCGTCTCCCTGTGTACTTTCACATCCAAATCTGTTTTGAATATTGCGTAGTATGCTCCGTTTTGATTATTTATTCTCCAAATCCGGTTGTATGTGTCCTTCTATCTGTCATTGAAGTAACAGTCTACTTAGACTTTTTCAGTGCTATCTGGGTTATGCTGGCGTTCGCATGATAATCGTTCTCGTTTTCGTTATCTAAACTCTAAAAATCTGGCCATAATATTCACAATGTTAAAAATTAAACTAAGGCCGGGCGCGGTGGCTCAGGCCTGTAATCCCAGCACTTTGCGAGGTCGAGGCGGGCGGATCACTTGAGGTCAGCAGTTCCAGAATAGCCTGGCCAACATGGTGAAACCCCGTCTCTACTAAAGATACAAAAAATTAGCCGGGCGTGGTGGTGCAGGCTTGTAATCCCAGCTACTCGGGAGGCTGAGGCAGGAGAATCGCTTGAACCCTGGAGGCAGCTGTTGCAGTGACCCAAGATCACGCCGTTGCCCTCCAGCCTGGGCGACAAGAACGAAACTCCGTCTCAAAAAAAAAAAAAAAAATTAAACTAGCAATACAAACTAGCACTATGTAGACACAACAGTCTACAGTCAAAGACCGAGTGCTACGGTCACGGCTGAAAACGGTAACATCGCGCATTTAAGTCGCCTCACTCAGAGCGATGCACGGTGCAAGGTTGTCACCATCAGCGGACAGGGGAAAAACGGCGACAACTACAAAAGTGGGATAACCTAAACCCTATTATCCATTGGCAATAAAATCAGTGTTGCTTTCGGCCCTGGGGCAGGGGTGGGAACAAGGATGGGGTTGTCACTTTTTGTGTGTATATATTCTCTCCAACCTATCGCCAAAAACCGAAAGCCCGGACTTTTCACATCCCAGGTAGGGTTTTCCTGGGAAGTGGGTCTTTGAGTGCTAAACTCCAGACAATCCCCTGGCAAACAAAGACAGTGGAGAAGACAAGCTTTTCACCCCTTCCTGCTATTACTACCGTTCTCACATCCTAGCAGATGCCCAAGAGTTTGCACCAAGAGCGCCATATTCTTTACCCCATGAAGTTGCATTTGTCCAAATCCCTTTGGACTTCCTCAAGACCGAGACGGAGACGTGATTGGGGAAGACTGCAGTGGGTTGAAAAGCCAGTGGGACTTAGGGAGGTATTTTTTTAAAACAGACGGCCTTACAAGGAGTTTGCTGTACATTAAGACGGCCTTACAAGAAGTTTGCTGTACATTAAGACGGCCTTACAAGACGTTTGAGCACATGAGATAGCGACAGGTGGAGACGCCTGTCAAAGGACATTGTTTTGTTGTTTAAGATAGTAAACGCTTCAATGCTTCCGGATGGGAAACACCGGATCACTTTTCCTGCGGGAAAGAACCGGTATGGAGGGAGAGAGAAAAACAGGCCGTTTTCCTGATCTCTCCAGACAAAATGGATGGACGCCCGTGCAGGTTAATTGTCAGGTTTCTGGACAGGACGTTTTGGAAATTTTCCACCTAAGGTGAGAAGTGGGGGGTCATCAGTTCAGAATAAGAGGGGCAAAAGCAGCGGGATCAGCAGCGACTTTCTTCATCTGATTCAGGTTTTGGAAGCTGGTGAGCTTTGAGAAGTTTCATAAGAATATTTTATTTTAGAAATTTAAAATAAAGGTAATGTAGACAAAAATGTTTAAATAAGGTAAAAATCAGTGTTGAAAACACCTGCTGAGGAGCACTAGTTGTCTGCCTCCTTAGCGCAGTAGGCAGCGCGTCAGTCTCATAATCTGAAGGTCCTGAGTTCGAACCTCAGAGGGGGCAGCTGCCATTTTGTCCCCAACTTCCACAAATAACCCTATTTGTTCAGTATACAATTATCTCTATAATTGCCGGGCCCGGCATATGTTGTCAGACAGACGAAGTCTCAGCTCTCTTTGTCCCGACGGCTTATCAAGTTCTAGTAAATCTCTTTTAGTTCTTCTTATGAGTATCATCTCTTTCCAGTGGGCTTGCTGTTTTCTCCGAGTTCTTCTGACCTCAATTCCCTCGTGGGACAGTATCCTTCTACTGGTGCAACTTAATTTATTGAAAAAATGAATAGACAGATGAAAACCTGATATTCAATTTGTTGTGGCAGCCCTAGGAAACCAACACACCATCCCTTCTTTCACTCACCAACCTCCCATCACATCAACCTCAAGCTGTTTTATTTTCTTCATAGAATTTTTTACTATATAAAGTTTCCTTGTTCTTTTATTTTTTAACGTTTTTATTGTCTGTTGCCCACCCATCCTCCTAGACTGTAAATTCCGTTAGAGACTGAATTTGTTTTATCCAGTTCTATATTTTCAGTGCCTAGCACGGTATCTGATAAACAAGTATTTCTCAAATCAATCATTTAATTTGCATATTAAATGTTATGGTTTTCTTTCCATGCTTCTTGTCACTATCTTATTCCACACAATCAACATCTCAAACTTAGATTACTTGCAATCATCACCCCA
Organism: Homo sapiens; assembly: GCF_000001405.40. NCBI lineage: Eukaryota > Metazoa > Chordata > Mammalia > Primates > Hominidae > Homo > Homo sapiens. The sequence continues at coordinate 218,143 of NT_167246.2, read as the reverse complement.
GCAGTTACACATACTGAAATTCATCTTGCAGGCTATACCTCTCTGGCCCAGTCCGTGCTGCAAAAAGAGAGGGCTCTCCTCCAACATGTCTGGACCTCAGGGGTCTGTATTTCAGGACAGCTCTCTTAACAGTTCATTCTGTTGCCGACTTAAGGAAGCGTTTTATAGGGAACATCTTAACAATTTCGTCTGGACCCTAGGCCTCTGGTTCCAGGAGCCTGCATCTACCACAGTTAAGGAAATGCTGTTAAAGATTTGGGAGAAGCCTAAGAGCTGGGTTGTCTGGCTGTTCAGGCAGCTCTCCAGAGACTGCTTTATCCTTATTGGAGCCATCACAATTCAGAGTCTGTTCCTCTCCTTTGCAGAATCAGACACTATTTTTATTTTATTTACTTATTTGTATTATTTATTTTGAGTCTCCCTCTGTCTACCAGGATGGAGTGGAGCCGTGCGATCTCGGCTCGCTGCAACCTCTGCCTCCCTGGTTCAAGCTATTCTCCTGCCTCAGCCTCCCAAGTAGCTGGGATTATAGGCGCGTACCACCACTCTCGGCTAATTTTTGTATTTTTAGTAGAGACTGTTTCAGCATGTTGGCCCGGCTGGTCTCGAACTCCTGACCGCAGGTGATCTGCCCGCCTCGGACTCCCAGAGTGCTGGGATTACAGGCGTGAGCCACCGCGCCCCGTCAGAAATTATTTTTATGTATTTTTATTTTTATTTTTTGTGACGGAGTCGCTCTGTCGCCCAGGCTGGAGTGCAGTGGCGCAATCTCGGCTCACTGCAAGCTCTACCTCCCGGGTTCACGCCCTTCTCCAGCCTCAGCCTCCCGAGTAGCTGGGACTACATGCGCCCGCCACCACGCCCAGCTAATTATTTTTGTATTTTTAGTAGAGACGGGGTTTCACCGTGTTGGCCAGGATGGTCTCGAGATCCGCCCGCCTCGGCCTCCCAAAGTGCTGGGATTACAGGCGTGAGCCACAGCGCTCGGCCGGAAACTATTTTTAAATTCACCTAGAGTTTTTAAGACTTGCAGGGCTGACTCACGGTAACTAAATGCCAGAAATATGCCAAGCCAGAATATGAACATATTATAACTTTCTTGATAATTGATCAGTATATTCCCTCCTACGTAAAATAAACTCTGCACTGGAAAGCAAGTAACAACAGAAGATTACTTTGGCACCTGTAAGCAGAGTAACAGGAATCATAAAATATTAAATACTTCGTATTCTAAGGTTGTCCTTAAATGTTAGTTTTCTTCAGAAAATCTGGGGCTATCTCACTGTAGAGGGCCCATGTATTCACCTTACTACTTTTATTTGGCATCAGAGTTACTCGCCTATTCGTGGTTTAAAATTTGGGGTTCTACAGGGTTTGGTGAATTTTTGCAGTATATGAAATCTGTCCCTATAAAACGATAGTATCCTTTTTGGCTTTTTCAAACATGATACCAGAATCAGGTACTAAAAGCCACCACTCCCGCCCGAACAGGGACTTGAACCCTGGACCCTCAGATTAAAAGTCTGATGCTCTACCGACTGAGCTATCCGGGCTCCCTGCAAAAGCCTTCTTCCTGCACATTCTAGTGAGTAAAAAGGTGCAGAAACTTGATATCGTCCAACTTAAATCCTATCCATGTTCCTTTTCTTTATTCCCATCTATGCTTTTGCCCACTTTGAATATGGCTCACAGTTATTTTTGTCCCCAACTCATGGAAAAAATTAACTCCCATCTTTGTGTAATGTACTCCAAACAATTACTTGTAAAAGCAATGTATAACTACAGACGTAATCGCCGGGTTTGTCTTGTCTTTAGTCTTCAAAGGTTATGCTCCAGTCTTCCCTGCGACCTTAAGAACACCTGGCACACGGGCGCGGTGGCTCACGCCTGTAATCTCAGCACTTTGGGAGGCCGAGGCGGGCGATCACAAGGTCAGGAAATCTAGACCATCCTGGCCAACATGGTGAAACCTCGTCTCTACTAAAATACAAAAAAATTAGCCGGGCGTGGTGGCGCACGCCTGTAGTCCCAGCTACTCGGGAGGCTGAGGCAAGGGAATCGCTTCAACCCGGGAGGCGAAGGTTGCAGGGAGCCGAGATCTTGCCTCTGCACTTCAACCTGGTGACAGAGTGAGACTCCAGAAAAAAAAAAAATAGGTTTTGAGAACTTATTTTGAGCAAGGCTCTCAGCTTTGCCCCGGGTTTCCTGCAGTGGAGAAGTACTACTGAGAGGTGACAGCGTGCTGGCAGTCCTCACAGCCCTCGCTTGCTCTGGGCGCCTCCTCTGCCTGGGCTCCTACTTTGGCGGCACTTGAGGAGCCCTTCAGCCCACCACTGCACTGTGGGAGCCCCTTTCTGGGCTGGCCAAGGCCGGAGCCCACTCCCTCAGCTTGCAGGGAGGTGTGGAGAGAGAGGCGCGAGCGGGAACCGGGGCTGCATGCGGCGCTTGCGGGCCAGCTGGAGTTCCGGGTGGGCGTGGGCTTGGCGGGCCTCGCACTCGGAGCAGCCGGCAGGCCCTGCCGGCCCCGGGCAATAAGGGACTTAGCACCCGGGCCAGCGACTGCAGAGGGTGTACTGGATCCCCCAGAGGTGCCAGCCCACCGGCGCTGCGCTCGATTTCTCGCCGGGCCTTAGTTGCCTTCCCGCGGGGCAGGCTTCGGGACTGCAGCCTGCCATGCCTGAGCCTTCCCCCGCCTCCGTGGGTTCCTGTGCAGCCCGAGCCTCCCCGACGAGCGCCGCCCCCTGCTCCACGGCACCCAGTCCCATCGACCACCCAAGGGATGAGGAGTGCGAGCGCATGGCGTGGGGTTGGCAGGCAACTCCACCTGCAACCCCGGTGCGGGATCCACTGGGTGAAGCCAGCTGGGATCCTGAGTCTGGTGGGGACGTGGAGAATCTTTATGTCTAGCTCAGGGATTGTAAATACACATATCGGCACTCTGTATCTAGCCCAAGGTTTGTAAACACACCAATCAGCACCCTGTGTCTAGCTCAGGGTTTGTGAGTGCACCAATCGACACTGTATCTAGCGGCTCTGGTGGGGCCGTGGAGAACCTGTGTGTCAAAACTCTGTATCTAACTAATCTGGTGGGGACGTGGAGAACCTTTGTATCTAGCTCAGGGATTGTAAATGCACCAATCAGCACCCTGTCAAAACAGGCCACTCGGCTCTACCAATCAGCAGGATGTGGGTGGGGCCAGCTAAGAGAATAAAAGCAGGCTGCCGGAGCCAGCATCCACAACCCGCTCGGCTCTTCTTCCATATTGTAGAGTGTTGTTTTTTTTTTTGCTCTTTGCAATAAATTTTGCGACTGGTTACTGTTTGGGTCCACATTGCTTTTATGAGCTGTAAGACTCACCGTGAAGGTCTGCAGCTTTTTTCCTGAAGTCAGCGAAAGCGCAAGCCCAGCAGGAAGAGCGAACAATTCCAGACGTGCTGTCTTAAGAGCTGTAATACTCTCTCCGAAGGTTTGCAGTTTCACTCCTGAGTTAGCGAGACCACGAACCCACCAGAAAGAAGAATACTCCTAACACATGGGAACATCAGAAGGAACAAACTCCAGACACGTCACGTTAAGAGCTGTAACACTCACCGCGAGGGCCCGTGGCTTCATTCTTGAAGTCAGTGAGATCAAGAACCCACCAATTCGGGACACACTACCTCAGCCCTTGGGGCGTTCATATTTTACAAGTGAAAAGCAGCCGTTAAACGACAAATTACACTGTTTAAACAGTCACTGTAACACATGCTCTTGAGAAAACGTTCAGGTTACAAAATGTTGAGGAAAAACAAGCAAAATCTCATGACCTTACTTTGCAAATTAAACGAGATAATGTAAGCAAACGCTTGGTGACATTTCCATGAAAATTAGGTGTTATCACAATTATTCTTATTGTAAAGTGGATCATTTAGAACACTGTATTTTAACCATTTTGCTTGTGCCACTTTAGACAAGTTTGTTAATCTCTTGACCACTTTAATCTCACAGCAGAAATCCCTCAAAGGCTAGGTCTAGCACAATGGTTGTCATGTGGTACATTTCTGATCGTGCATTTATTTATGCTACTATTGAAAAACAGATTCGAGGTTATTTACACAACTATACTGTAAGATAAAGTGAAAAATGTTAATTTAAATCAAGATAAAGGGAACATAGAGAAAAGTAAGGTGAGACAAAATAATGCACACTGTAAATCGCACACTGTAAATCACACCCTGCCCTCTATCTTCAAGAGCATGGATTATAAAGGGAGATGACCTCTTCCAGGGGATTAGAGAAGACTTCTCCCAGGAAGTGATGTTTAAACTGAAAACTAAAGGCCTAGTTGGACAAAAATGTGATTCCAGCATTCCAGGGAGATTAAAGAGCAGAACACTTCCAGACACCTGAGAGAAGGCCTGAGCAGCTTGTGTACAGAGAGCTCAAGAGAGTGTTCATGAAGGTGGGGTCTGAGGTGGACAGGAAGGCAGGGACAGACCAGTGACTCACAGGCTCAGAGGTTATGGCTAGTAGTGCAGAGAGCTGACTGCACCCTAGCAGCAATGTGAAGCCACTGGGAATTCTAAGCAGGAAGAAATGACATGATGAGATTACTTTTAAGAGTACACTGGCTTTATGTAAAGAATGAGTCAGAATGGAGGAAGAGGTGATGCAAAAACATAAATTAGGCCATTGTGCAGAAGAAGGCCATCGAGACATGGCAGTGGGGAGGAATGATGCAGAGAAACTGGGGAACAGCTAGAAGAAAGAAAACTTGGGCCCAGACTGCCCCTGGGAACCTGGAGGGCAGGAGGTGTCAAGATGTCTCAGCTGCTTATTTACCAAGAAAAGCTCTTTACAGGGAAAGGCAGAAATAAAGCAAAACAGGGCGAGGCCAGTGGCTCCCACCTGTAATCCCAACATTTTGGGAGGCAGAGGTGGGCAAATCAATTGTGGTCGGGAGTTCCAGACCAGCCTGGCAAACATGATGAAACCGCATCTCTACTAAAAACACAAAAATGAGCCAGGTGTGGTGGTGCATGACTGTAGTCCCAGCTACCTCAAGGGTCTGAGGCAAAATAATCACTTGAACCTGGGAGGCAGAGGTTGCAGTGAGCCGAGATCACACCACTACACTCCAGCCTGGGTGACAGAGCAAGACTCCATCTCAAAAAAAAAAAAAAAGAAAGAAAGAAAAAAGAAAAATTAGAAATAAAGCAGAATAGGAAATGGCACCTTGTAGCTTTTGAGAGTTCTCTGGGAAGCATAGAACATTTATTCTGCTCTTGATGAGGCAAGTGCTCCTAGTTTTAACCAGTAAGCAAGCCCTGGATGACTAAACAAAAATGAGGAGAATTTTGGGAGGAAATGATCTCTCCAGAGACGGTCAACATAGGATAAATGAATATAGGCCGAGTAAGTCCTTGACTGGGGCTTCCAAAATGTTGCCACACTGATGGCATTCAAATCTCCTGGAGTCACTGTTAAAAACTCAGATTCAGGCCAGTTGCAGTGGCTCACACCTGTAATCCCAGCACTTTGGGAGACCCAGGTGCATGGATCATCTGAGGCCAGGAGATCGAGACCAGCCTGACCAACATGGAGAAACCACATCTCTACTAAAAACACAAAATTAGCCGGGCGTGGTGGCGCATGCCTGTAATCCCAGCTACTCCAGAGGCTGAGGCAGGAGAATCGCTTGAACCAGGAGGTAGAGGTTGCCGTGAGCCGAGATCGTGCCATTGCACTCTAGCCTGGGCAACAAGAGTGAAACTCCATCTCAAAAAAAAAAAAAAGATTCACAGATTCTATCTCAGACTCATGAATCAGAATATTCTCAAGGTCTGGCTGACCTCCACAACTTAAATCACTGTTGTCTTTTCTCTCCCCTATGCAGCGAATTCCCTCTCTGAACATGATCATGACCTCTGAGACCCTGCATGATCTATGTGCATCCTGTAGGGTCTATGTGTATCTAACCCCCTCATCTCCTATCAAGTTCTCCCTTGTTTACTGACCTACAGCTGCACTAGTCTCCTCCTTCGTTCCTTGAACATGCCAATGGCATTCCTGCCAAGCCTTTTGTAATTACTGTTCCCTTGGCCTGAAATTCTCTTCTCCCTGATAGCCTCACAGCTCACTCACTCACTTCCTTCAAGTCTCTGTTCAGATGCCTCCTTATCAGGAAGGCCTCCTTGGTCACCCTTTATTATAAAGCAATCCCCTCCCCTTTGTTCTCCATTCTCTTGCTCTTTTCCTTCATGGCATGTATCACTACTTCACATTTTATATATCTGGTTGAATTTATTCTTTATCATTCCCCACTAAAATGTAAACTCCATGAGAGCAGAAGCTTTTTCTGTTGTGTGGAGTGCTATCCCTGCACCCCCTATGTGTGGTTCAGGGTCTAGTTAAGAAATAAGGCTGGGCACGGTGGCTCACATCTGTAATCCCAGCGCTTTGGGAGGCCGAAGCGGGCAGATCACTTGAGGTCAGGAGTTCAAGACCAGCCTGGCCAACATGGTGAAACCCCGTCTCTGGTAAAAATACAAAAATTAGCTGGACGTCGTGGCGGGCGCCTGTAATTCCAGCTACCTGGGACGCTGAAGCAGGAGAATCGCTTGAACCCGGGAGGCAGAGGTTGCAGCGAGCTGAGATTGTGCCACTGCACTCCAGCCTGGGTGACAGAACAAGACTCTGTCTCAAAAAAAAAGGAATAAGACTAGGTATTTCAACTGGGCACACCATGGTAACTCAGAGGTGATAACTACTGGGAAGTAGCTACCACCTTGTAGGGCTGGAAGAACAAAAAGGAAGAGGTTGAGACCACTGAGGAAAGGCATCCTGGAGTGCTAAAGAGGACGCGCTGCAGCTGGACTACTACTTACTTATGTAATGGACAGTGAGACATTCTGGAATGCATGAAGAGAACAAATAGAGATGGGATTCAACTGCCATTGTTGGAGTGACCTGACAGGAAGAACAAAATTTAGAAAGCAGCCCCTGCTTCTCTCCTCTTGCTTTCTAGTCTCTTTCTGGTTCCTCTTATTGACAGAACACAAGAGGAAGCCAATGGGCAAAGGAGTTTGGGAAATATCATTTGCAGGCGCCCAGCCCCAATGTCACAAAACAAAGTATATAAGGGTGATTTTAAAGCTGAGAGGGAATGGATTAATAGGAACACAGCTTGGAACAAAGTAGGACTCAAGAGCAGGACATTAATGATCAGTCTTGCTCATTATTATTTGAGTCAGGGGCTCATCTTGACTGTAAATATCAGCCTATCTTCTTCACTTCTTGTTTCTCTTTTTACCCCTTCCTGCATCTGGTAGTTTGGATGATTTAGATCCAGTCAACAGGACTGGAAGCAAGAGAAAAGGTCCAATGCAATGAGACTGAGGGGGGAGTTTTTTGTCAGTTTTTTGTTTCCTTTCTTTTTTCATATGGAATGTTATTGGTGGCAACCTGGTGGTAAGCCATTCCAGAAGAATGGTAAAAGATAACCAAGTCAGTAATTGATAATTAGATTCTATACCTTCCACACCCCTAGTACAACCCTCCACCCACTTTTTCTTATCTCAGCACTCTAAAACTGGCAAGTTTCTTGACTCTGGTGTTGTTAAAACAAAGACAATTGCCAAGCATATCTGAAAAACATTTGAAAATGCTACCAGCTCTATCTCCAATTGGTATGCAGGGCGGGAGGGGAGATGAGAATTTTGGAGAATTTAATTCTTAGTGAAAATCACTGTTTTGTAACTGAACATGGTTCTATTAAACAGCAATTACCCGTTCTGTTCCATCAAAGCAATGTCCTTAGATTTTTTTTTCCCTTACCAGACATATTGTACACTTTTCTATAGAGAAAGCAGAGAAAGAACAACGTTTTGTCAACTTCCTTTGTTGTCTTACTCATTTTGGATCAAGAAGAAGTAAAATGGCAAAACAGACGCCTTGCCCCCTCTGAGGTTCGAACTCAGGACCTTCAGATTATGAGACTGACGCGCTGCCTACTGCGCTAAGGAGGCAACTGTCTCTCCCGCTTAACCAACGGCTCTACCAAGATGATTATGAGGCATTTTAATAAGGTTTTACGTTCTCTGAATTACAGTGTTTCAAAATAAGGCGTAACTATGATTCAATTCACTTCTAAAACACTTTGGATGACAAAACTACGTAGTACAAGGCAGGGGCCAATTCCTAAACCAACCTCGTTCTCCCACAGACCTTCCTAAGGAAACTTTAAGGGCTGCGAAGGCAATTGAGTCTGGACTTTGCGAAAGGCCTTCCTGTACGGGGCCCTGGATTTCTCATCTCATTTCTGGGCCAGGAACGAGGAGTCTTTCCCTCTATGATTAGGGCTTTCGTAGATGTACCGCCTCTGAAACGAAGACAAGACAAATAATAATGAGTTCACTCTTTTCCTCCCTTGTGAAGTTCCGTGGAGACACTCGGTCCCCTGAAGTGGATGAAGGGCGAGGGGAGGAGGTCTCAGGATTTTTCCTCGCTTTTCTTAGAAGCAACAGGCTCAAACCAAACGGTTGGCCTTGCTTACTCCTGAAGTCGAGAGGCTTACTCCCTGGAATCCAAGTGGATGTGGAGCCCATGGCGTCCTCTGGCGCTCTCGGTCTCTTCGACCCCTTTTTACTGTGTTGATGATAAATGGGGCAGGATTCCCCTCCTGCACCACCTGCAGCATCCTGTCCAGGATCCATCTGGGAGCTGAGAAGAAGCAAAGTGTCAGGGATCGGGGGTTCTCGGGCTATGCTGAGAAGCAAGGAATGCTGAAGAAGGGGCCTGAGGGAAGGGCTTATGGTGATGTGGGAATGGGAATGAAAGGACTGGAAAGGGGCGACAGTCACTTGGGTGAAACTGAAAGCGGCGACGCACCCTGTGGGTGGTAGCGTGGCCGAGCGGTCTAAGGCGCTGGATTAAGGCTCCAGTCTCTTCGGGGGCGTGGGTTCGAATCCCACCGCTGCCAGTGTGAGGTATTTTTTTTTCCCCCTCGTCATTCTGACCCAGTAAAGTTCCATTTTCAAGCCTTGTGTGGGCAGTTCTCACAGCTTCCTAAGTGAGACAGGTTCCTCTTCTGTTTTCCTAGGGGCCACAGATAACACCCATATGTACAGTCCCACAAACGGTGCCCAAATGTTTCTCGATTTAGGGGCTCAGACATCTCGTCCCCTAGTTATTCCCTTCAGTGGCCTTCATGTGTTTTCATTCACTTTGCGAAATTTGTGAACCAACCAAGGGCAATCCTAAGGAAAAAGTACAACCTTCTTAACTCCAGACTCAAGAATAAATAAGCCACGCACGCTCATCTGCCCTATTTTCCATTGTCTTCTCCAAGGGATAAATGTGCTAAGGCTGAAAAAACAAACGAACCAACAAAAGAAACAGTCACCAGACACCTAGAGCCTTTCCCGCTTCACCTATCCTCAGAGAGCAGTTTAAGGTCCTTAGTTGAACACAGTTGAAGAGTTAGCTTTTGAGATTCTGTTATCTTCTTAAACAGTAAACATTTTTTTCTTTTTTTTTTTTAAGAAATAAGGTGGAGGCTCATAGAATAGAAAGAATAACACCTGTTTTAGGGAAGAAGGACTTGATCCGTTATTTACCTGGATCTGGGGTAGTTTAGACCATCTTTTAAGGCTAGGAGACTCGAGGAGATAGAATGGAGAGTTTTTGTGTGCAGGGAGGTGGGTAGATGCTTAGGAGCACTTTACAGTCGCCTAGGCAGAAGTCTTCTAATTTCACTGCTTCCTTCCTCACCTTCCAAAAGATGTATCCAATACATACTAATTGAGCAGATATTTTGTAACAGGCACCTTGCTTGAAAGGATGAATGCCAGCAAATGATTCCAGGGTTCCTTAGCAATTTAGTCTTGAGAGACTAGAGAGGCACATTAAGCATAGTTGACAAATAATTAATATTAAGATTGACTAAAGTAGTAATTTATATCTGAGTATTTCTTCCAGACACGCTACGTATATATGTGGTCTATTTGTTATATGTTGTTCTCACAATTACTAGATAAATAACCATGTTATCTTAATAAAGTTAAGATTTGAAAAAATGAATTACTACATCCAGCACTATAACATCCTAGTTTGGTCATCCATACTAAAGGACACCTATATGTTGGGTCATCTGGACGCTAAGATGTCCACCTGGGAGCTGGGACCTGGAAAGGCAAAAGAAGATAGGAGGAGGAGGAGAAATAATTATTCCCTTTTGAACTTGTAAAATTTAGCCTAGCAAGTGAAGGCAAAAAAGAAGTCTAAAGTCTCCCAAAAGTCTAAGCTGGGCTGTCCCACTGAGTATTCATTCATTCATTCATTCATTCATTCACTCATCCTTTCATTTATGCATTCATGCAACAAGCATTGGTTGAGCTTCTACAAAGTAGCAGACCGTGGGCTATCAAAGACTACTGAGACTCAGCCCTGCACTTAAGGCATTTTGGAGGAATGCGGGAGACAGATTTTAAAAATTTAAGCCCATGGTTACAACTGAGGGGCAGTGCCAAGATACTCGGAGGTTGTTCTAGAGGCATCTGTAGGTATCGTACAATGAATAAATAAGACTGTAGAAAGTAGATAGTATATTTTTTCTTTTCTCTCTTTTCTCCCTTTCAAACCGTGAGACTAAAATTCAATTCACCTTTTCGTGGGCTGGAAACGAAAGAAAATAAAAATCTCCAGGAATAACCATATTCCCAGATCAGTATACTGCCCTGCCCCGAAGGATGGAAAGAAATCTGGGAGAAAGGCGCGGTGGAAACAGTGTGTGAGCCCTACCCCTCCCATCCCTGCGTTTGGCCATCCAAAACAAAAAAACTGCCCCTGCAAAATTACTTTAAATCAATTAGTAAGTAGAAGACAAGAGAGACCCCAGGTGGATCGAGTATCCATTTTTTGTTAAGTAGGGTTCCATGGTGTAATGGTTAGCACTCTGGACTCTGAATCCAGCGATCCGAGTTCAAATCTCGGTGGAACCTTTCATTTCTCTCCTTTTGCCTTGTTTCCGATAACCTTGAGCGTGAACCTTGCTGCTTTCAATTTCAGTTTCATCACTTTTATTTTTGATGGTTTCTGGCCGTGAGGAAAAACATGTAATCTGCGGTCCCAATAACCTATGAGCTCAGGGCCAGTATGTAATGATGGAGTCTGTATACATGTCTTTCTATTCCTACCTAGTCTAGTTTCCTCCCAGTACGCCTCTGGGTGAGTGCTCATGTGGTAAATGAATGCGCCTTTTAACGAACTGACCAAAGCGGGGCAAAACGTGATTCACTACTAAACAGCGAACAAGACTGAAAAGCAAGGGGGCAGACCTCATTGAGAGTGTATCATTTTAGTTAGAATAAAAAAAGTTGAGGTAGAAAGAATGAAAACACAGAAATGGCTGAGAAAGTAGAGTAAAAGGAGAATAAGATAGTTGTGTCAGAAGTGGGATTCGAACCCACGCCTCCATTGGAGACCAGAATCCTCAACACGAGGAAGCCAAGCTTGAGTCTGGCGCCTTAGACCACTCGGCCATCCTGACACCTGGGACACTTACCATCGCAAATTAATATAATCTTCGATTGTAATGAATGCGTAACCAGCGTTAAGTCATTACTACGTTCGCGATTTAATGAAAGAAATGGAAAAGGAAATTCCTACAAGTGAACAAAACGTTCTATTTAAATGGAATCAGGAACCGTGACTCAGCTTGCGAGGCTCTCCTACCAATTCAGGCTAGAATTCAGCGTTTCTCGCCCTTCGCCCCCTTCTTACACTTCCCTGCACGCCCCGGGTACAGGGGCGCGAGCATCCTAACAACCCAGCCGCGACTCTGCCTTGAACAAGAAAGAACACATAGCATGACAAGAAAAAACACATATCCATGACAAGAAAGAACACATAGCACGGGGGCTGTTCCCGAGATGCTGCTTAGCAAACTAATCAAAGAGCTCAGCAGGGAAGAAATGAGCGAGGCAATGTAGACCTGAAGCGAAGCAGGAGAGTTAGCGGAGAGTGGGGGATGAGAGCGGTTCAGGGGTCTTGAACATGAAAAATGACTGTCGATGTGAGTAACAGGAGTTGACTTGGTCAGGAGTTGAAAGAGGGTGAAGTGCAGGGGTGCTAAACCAGAGTAGCATGAAGGAAGTGTCAGCACTGAGCCGAAATCCCCAGATCTCTTCCCTCACCACATTCCCAGAACTAGTCAAACAGGCTCATCTCCCCTCCCCCTACCTCTCCCAGGAGGTTGAAGGAGTATGTCAAGGGAAACTGGGATAAAGTTTTCCAGAGATAAAGAAAGACAGATGAGATATCCAAGTCAATTTACAAGGAAAAAATAAAAATTAAAACAACGACAAACACTGGTATTTGAGGATCTCCCAAAGAAATGGCTGGGTCTCCATAGAATCCCCAAAGACTCTGCAGTCTACAGGCTTGGAGCAGGTCCACAGAGCTTCCAGAATCAGGTGTTTAGTGCCTTACTTAAAATATGTACGACAACCAAGGATAATCAGGTGGTTGTGAAAATATTTCTACAATAAGACAAGGACGAATACAAACAGAAGGGGGCAGGAAGAACCTAAGAGGAAACAAATACAATGCAGGAAGTTGGATTTTTTAAAAATTATAATTAATCCTCGGGAAAGTAAGAGAAGATACTGCACTCATGAAACAAAAAGGAGGGGAGTTCTTAAAATTATTAATAATATTATGATGGCTGGATTTTTAAAAATTTCTTTTTTTTTTTTCTTGAGACGGGGTTTGGCGCTTGTTGCCCAGGCTGGAGTGCAATGATGCAATCTCGGCTCACCACAACCTCTGCCTTCCAGGTTCAAGAGATTCTTCTGCCTCCAGAGTAGCTGGGATTACAGGCATGCGCCACCACGCCCGGCTAATTTTATGTTTTTAGTTAAGACAGGGTTTCTCCATGTTGGTCTGACTGGTCTCGAACTCCCAACCTCAGGTGATCCGCCCGCCTCAGCCTCCCAAAGTGCTGGGATTACAGTTGTGAGCCACTGCGCCTGGCCTAAAATTTCAAAATAAGGTTGTAGAAATCTGGAAAGTTTGGGGTGAATGATGGAAAATAGCAAAGAATTGATAAGAAAATAAAATGGTGTATAATAGAAGATATGCCAACAAACTAACAGGGATTCTAGGAAAAGAGGAGAAAGTGGAATAAAGGAGATAAAGATGTAATATAAGATTATTTTTCAGAACCAAAGACCTTAAGTCTCCAGATTTAAAAGGCCCACCAACTACCCTGCATAGGGTGTGGCAAAGCCCCACAATAAAGCTTGTCATTGTGAAATATCAGATGAATAAAGTGAATATCCTAAATGTTTCCAGAAGGAAAACAAAACTAAAAGATTGCACAGAAAGGATTATGAATTAGAATGTCATCTTTTTTTCTCCACAGCAGCACCAACACCAAAAGCTGAAAGACAATGAGGCAATGCCTTCTAAATCATTTCAATAAAGGAAAATAGTTTCCACAACTAGATTTCTGAACCCAGCCAAACTATCAATCAAATGTGAATGGACATTTGCAGAACATTATCTCCCAAGTACCTTTTCTCAGAAAGCTTCTGGAGAATTGTCCACTAACTAGGGAATTAAACTAAGAAAAAGGAAATATGAAATCCGGTGACTGGGGACCTAACACAGAAGAAAGGTAAAGGAAAAAACTCCGGGGCAACTGCTGAGCTACCAGGCTAGAAGGCAATCAGTCTACGGTGGAATAGAAAAAAGAGGGCTAAACGAGGGTTGTTTCCAATGGGGGAAAATGGAACTGACATACTGCCTCATGCATTTGACGAGAAAATAGTGTCAGAAAGCTGGTTTTGAATTAGGAATAAATATTTAGAAAAGTAAGCAAAGAACAGGAGGCAATTATTAATCCCAGGAAGAACAAAAGGTTGTCAAAGAAGGTAATTATGGTATACCATGGAGCTCAGCTGTGAAAAATATTACAAAGTCATAATGATGAAAACCATAAATATTAATTTATTAATTTAACTAAAAATTATACATATGAGGCTGGGCACGGTGGCTCATGCCTATAATCCCAGCACTTTGGGACGCCGAGGCAGGCGGATTGCCTGAGGTCAGGAGTTCAAGACCACCCTGGCCAACATGGTGAAACCCTGTCTCTATTAAAAATACAAAAAAATAGATGGGCGTGGTGGCGGACCCCTGTATTCCCAAGCTGAGGCGCGAGAATCCCTTGAACCTGTGAGGCAGAGGTTGCAGTGAGCTGAGATGGCGCCACTGCACTCCAGCCTGGGCAACAGAGTGAAACTCCATCTCGTAATAATAATAATAATAACAAATATGAATGTATATTGCCATATTCAAAAATGTATTCAATAAATATATGTTGAATTAAGAAATGTATAAGTAAATAAATATGTCCACAAGAAGAGATTCATGAAGAGTGTAGGCATAAATATAAAGGATTCTTATGGATGTATTCTAATAATAAAATACACTATTGATTAATATATTTTCTTGAGTATTTTCTTTTTATGTCCATCAGTCTCACCTCTCTCTGCTGGGCTAAGGAAAAATTAATCTTTCCTACAAAGCTATCACTAAGACAAAGTAAAAACAGGTCAATGATAATCCCACAGAAACCTTTTAAAGCTGTTAAAACCGCTTCAACATATGAGTTGCTGTAAATGTTATAATTAGTTAAAAAGAACAAGTAGGCCTTGTGTGGTGGCTCACACTTGTAATCCCAGCACTTTGGGAGGCTGAGGTGGGCGGATCACTTGAGGTCAGGAGTTTAAGACCACCCTGGCCAACATGGTGAAACTCCATCTCTACTAAAAATACAAAAAATAGGCCGCGTGCGGTGGCTCATGCCTGTAATCCCAGCACTTTGGGAGGCCAAGGTGCGGGGATCACGAGGGCAAGAGAGCGAGACCATCCTGGCCAACATGGTCAAACCCCGTCTCTATTAAAAATATAAAAATCAGCTGGTCGTGGTGGCGTGGTGGTGGCTGCCCGTAGTCCCAGCTACTCAGGAGGCTGAGGAAAGAGTATTGCTTGGACCGGGGAGGTGGAGGTTGCAATGAGCCGAGATCACGCCATTGCACTCCAGCCTGGGCGACAGAGCCAGACACTGTCTTAAAAAAAAAAAAAATAGCCAGACATGGTGGTGCACACCTGTAGTCCCAGCTACTCAGGAGGCTGAGGCAGGAGGTTGCAGTAAGCCGAGATCATGCCATTGCACTCCAGCCTGGACGGCAGAGGGAGACTCCGTCTAAAAAAAAAACAGAATAAGTAAATCTGGTGAACTGGTTTTCCATTAGTGCAGCTATTTTCTGCTTTTTGGAGATAGTGGTTAAAACGAGGTGAATAGACAGAAATGCATTTACAAATTTATGATATAACTTTTCAATAAAAGGTGCTGGACCAATTAGGAAAAAAACTAAATCTAGACCTTTGCCTCACACCAAACACAAAAATGAATTCATAATGGACCATACACCTAAGTATGACAGGGAAAGTAAAGCTTCTAGAAAGAGGATATGTTAATGAATGTAAGGTACGCAAAGATTTCAAAAACAGGAAAGAGTAACCAAAATGAAAAAAAAAAAAAGTTAAACAGGCACCCACCTGTAGTTCCAGCTACTCAGGAGGCTTGAGGTGGGAGGATCGCTTGAGCCCAGGAAATTGAGGTCGTAGTGCACAATGATAGCCCCTGTGAACAGTCACTGCACTCTAGCCTGGGCAACACAGTGAGAACCCATGTCTATTAAATAAATAAATAAGTGTAAAAATTTTAAAAATAAATCAATAAAGTCGATGAAATAAAATTCATCAAAACTGGAAACTTCTATTCATCAAAAAACATCATTAAGAAAATGAAAAATGGAGGCCGGGCGTGGTGGCTCACGCCTGTAATCCCAGCACTTTGGGAGGCTGAGGCAGATCACAAGGTCAAGAGATCAAGACCATCCTGGCCAACACAGTGAAACCCTGTCTCTACTAAAAATACAAAAATTAGCTGAGCGTGGTGGCGCACACCTGTAGTCCCAGCTACTCAGGAGCCTGAGGCAGGAGGATCACTTGAACCCGGGAGGCGGAGGTTGCAGTGAGTCGAGATTGTGCCACTGCCCTCCAGCCTGGCAACAGAGTGAGACTCTGTCTCCCGAAAAAAAAAAAAGAAAAAGAAAATGAAAAATGGAAGCCACAAATTGCAGGAAACATTTGCAAAATACATACCTGAGAAAGGACTCATCCTAAATATATAAAGCACTCTTGTAAATCAACAAGAAAAAGACAAATAATTTTTTTTTAATGACAAAAGACTTGATCAGGAACTTCCCTAAAGACTACATTCAAATAGTACACATATGAGGCCAGGGACAGTGGCTCACGCTGTAATGCCACCAGCACTTCAGGAGGTGGGAGGATTACTTGAGCCCAGGAGTTCGAGACCAGCCTGGGCAACATAGTAAGACTCCCCCTGCCCCACCATCTCTACAAAAAAAAAAAAAAAAAATTAGCCAGGCATGGTGGCGTGTGCCTGTAGTCTGAGCTATTCAGGAGGCTGAGGTAGGAGGATCCTGTGAGCCTGGGAAGTTGAGGCTGCAGTGGGTCATGATTGCATAACTGCACTCCAGCAAAAGAAAATTTGAAAATGTGCTCAGTATCATTAATTAGCAGGGAAATATAAATTAAAACCACAATGAGATACCACTACAAATCCACCTGAACAGCTAAAATATTTTAAAACACATATGCTGTACCAAGTGTTGGTGTAATATGTGCGGCAACTAGAATTCTCATGCATTGCTGCTAGAAGTGTTAATTAGCACATTCACTATGGAACATTTTTTGGCATTATCTAAAAAACTAAACATATGCCTACTAGCAATTCCACTCCTAGAAATGAGGGCATTTGTCCATGAACAGACATATACCACCAGAACGTTTAGGGCAGCTTTATTCATAACAGACAACAATTTAAAACCCCAATAAGTGCTCATGATAGGAGTCTCTTCATATGAAGTTCAAGAACAGGCAGAATTAATCAATGCTTCTAGAAATTTGGAATAGTGATTTTTTCTAAGTAACCTCTGGGAGTGGATACTGATGGAAAGAGACATGAGACAGCCTTCCTGGATGCTGAAAATATTTTTCCTCTTGATCTGGATGGTGGGTACACACATGTAACAATTCATTAGCTTATACACTGAAGGCTTGTTCCCTTTATGTATATTTTACCTCAATAAATTAACAATATGAAACAGTTTATCATTTAATGTCAATTAAATGCTCTACAGCATAAACTCTAAAAATGTTTGATATAGTTTGGATATTTGTCCCCACTCAAATTGGATATTTGTCTCACATTGAGATGTAATCCCCAATATTGGAGGTGGGGTCCGGTGGGGCCTCCTTGCTCCATTCTCGCTAGGCGATATGCCTGCTCCCCCTTTGTTTTCCGCCATGATTCGAAGTTTCCTAGGCCAGGTGCAGTGGCTCACACCTGTAATCCCAGCACTTTGGGAGGCCGAGGCAGGTGGATCACTTGAGGTCAGGAGTTCAAGACCAGCCTGATCAACATGGTGAAACCAGTCTCTACTAAAAATATACAAAATTGGACAAGCGCGGTGGTGCACGCCTGTAATCCCAGCTACTTGGAGGCTGAGACAGGAGAACTGCTTGAACCCGGGAGGCGGAGCTTGCAGTGAGCCAAGACAGCACTATTGCACTCCAGCCTGGGCAACAAGAGAGAAACTCCGTCTGAAAAAAAACAAAACAAAACAAAAAACCCGGAAGTTTCCCAAGGCCTCTGCAGAAGCAGCTGCCACTGTGCTTCCTGTACAGCCTGCAGAATCATGAGCCAATTAAAACTCTTTTCTTATAAATTACCCAGTCTCAGGTATTTCTCTTTTTTTGTTTTGTTTTGTTTTGAGATGGAGTCTCTCTCCGTGTTGCCAAGGCTGGAGTACAGTGACACAATCTTGGCTCACGGCAACTTCCACCTCCCAGGTTCAAGCGATTCTCCTGCCTCAGCTTCCCAAGTAGCTAGGATTACAGGCACACGCCACCACACACAGCTAATTTTTTTATATTTTTAGTAGAGACAGCGTTTCACTATGTTGGCCAGGCTGGTCTCAAACTCCTGACCTCAAGTGATCCGCAAGCCTCAGCCTCCCAAAGTACTGGGATTACAGGTGTGAGCCACTGCACCCGGCCCTCAGGTATTTCTTTACAGCAGTGCCGGCACAGCCTAATACAATGTTAAAAAGGGAAAAATTGTTGTGACCTGGGAAGACGAGAAAAGTTTTATGAGAGGCTGATCTGGAGGGAGTGGTCACCTGCAAGGAAAGCGGAGGGATCCGCTTATTCAAGGAGTTTAGCCCAGAAAGGGAAGAGAAATGGTTCCAGAGCTCACAAAAGCATTGAAATCTTCTTCAGGCCCAACATCTCTAGGTCCTTCAATTATTTCTCCCTTGCAGTTTGTGATGCCATTCCCACCCACTGTGTTATTCTTTCTCATAGCATCCTGTCTCTTCCATCATAGAAGTTGTCACAATTAGTAACCACATATTGATTTGATTAATAACTGAATGCAACTCCTTATTCTGATTATTTCATACTGCATAACAAACTGCCCCAACAGGTAGGGCTCACTGGGATGATTTTTCTGTAACACCTGGCATTAACTGGCAACTCAGAATGTATCCATTTGGTAGTTGGGCTGCTCTTCACTGAAAATCCTCATGCTTTTCTCAGGGAATGGCTGGAAGGATGGCCTCAATGAGCTCACTCCCCCCTTATGGAGTCCCGTAGTAGAGTAGGTGGACATCACTATGGACTGAGTTGTGTCCACTCTGCCCACCACATACACACAGCTCCCAACTCATGTTTTGGAATTTTAACCCCCAATGTGACTATATTTGAAGATAATTTTTTTTTTTTGATAGAGTTTTGCTCTGCTGCCCAGGCTGGAGTGCAGTGCCTCAATCTTGGCTCACTGCAACCTCTGCCTCCTGAGTTCAAGTGATTCTCCTGTCTCAGCCTCCTGAGTAGCTGGGATTACAGGTGTGCACCACCATGCCCAGCTGATTTTTGTATTTTTAGTAGAGACAGGCTTTTGCCATATTGGCCAGGCTGGTCTTGAACTCCCAGCCCCAAGTGATACACCTGCCTCGGCCTCCCAAATTGCTGGAATTACAGGCGTGAGCCACCGCGACTGCCTGGAGATAGGATCTTTATAGGGATGACAATTAAGGATAAATGATGTCATAAGAGTGAGGCCCTAAGCTGATAATACTGGTGTCCTTATAAGAAGAAGAAGAGACATCAGAGGTGCATGCACACAGAGAAAAGGTCATGTGAGGACATAGTCAGAAGGCGGCTGCCTGCGAGCCAAGGAGAGAGACCTCAGGAGAAACCAACCCTGCAGACTTTGATCTTGGACTTCCAGTATCCAGAAAATAAAATGTGAGCAAATAAATTCCCGTTTTTTAAGCCATCTAGTATTTTGTATGCCAGCCTGAGGAGACTAATAAAGACATATCTATGGTGTCTCAGGACTCAGAGACACAAGACAGGGGCTGTCAGCCCTCTTACAGCCCTGGCCTGGCACTGGTATAGAATCACTTCTGCCATACAGTGTTAGTCACAGTACTCATAGGCCAGCCCACCAGATTCAAGGGGCTGGAGGAGTGGGCTGCACCCTGTTTTCTGTTGTTGTTGTTGTTTGTTTGTTTGTTTTTTGAGACAGAGTTTCACTCTTGTTGCCCAGGCTGGAGTGCAATGGTGTGATCTTGGCTCACTGCAACCTCTACCTCCCAGGTTCAAGTGATTCTCCTGCCTCAGCCTCCCAAGTAACTGGGATTACAGGCATGCGCCACCATGCCCAGCTAATTTTGTATTTTTAGTAGAGACAGGGTTTCTCCATGTTGCTTAGGCTAGTTTTGAACTCCTGACCTCAGGTGATCTGCCTGCTTTGGCTTCCCAAAGTGCTGGGATTACAGGTGCGAGCCACCGCACCCGGCCTTTTTTTTTTTTAAGATGAGGATCTCACTCTGTCGCCCAGGTTGGAGTGCAGTGGCATGATCATAGCTCACTGCAGCCTCAAACTCCTGGGCTCAGGCAATCCTCCCACCTTAGCCTCCCAAGTAGCTGGAACTACAGGCATGTGCCATGATGCCCAGCTTACATATCTTGGTGATCCAATGTCATGTGCATATGAGAGGTCTCTAAGATAGTGACTATCTTGGAGACAGCTACCATCTCGGCCTCCATCCAGCCCCCAGTGGCCTGTCAGCTCCATAAGGGCAGGAATCTTGTCTAGTGTGTTTACCAGGCATGGTCTGCTCATATTCAAAATGCCTGTGTTAAAATCAAGGAAATCCTCAACCCCTTGCTGTTTGAAAGAAGGGGTCAGATTAGCTTTTCCTCCCACTGTCTTCAAAGATTTTATCCCCAGGAAATAGAATATAGCTAAATGTTGGGAAGCACATAACCAATTCAAAAATAAATTATATTTAGATGACTAATGACAATTACATTTTTCAGTGGGTCTTGATGCATAGACCAGTGAGCATTATCTCAGTCCCCTTGCCATAGTAATTGGTTCAGGAATAGGTAGTAAAACCAAACCTAAGCCAACTGGCACATGAATTTCTCTGTCCACAGGGATTAGTCCAATCAATAAGAGCAAAACACAGGGCTTTGCTGGCTGGGAAAGACAAGTCATTGATGCTGTGACTGCAGAAATTTTTTAAAATTTATTTTGACATAATTGTAGATTCACATACAGTTATAGGATGTAATTAAGATTCAGTGGCTGGGTGCAGTGGCTCGCTCCTATAAGCCTTGCACTTTGGGAGGCAGAGGAGGGAAGATTGCTTGAGGCCAGGAGTTCAAGATCAGCCTGACCAACATGGCAAAACCCTGTCTCTACTAAAAATACAAAAATTACCTAGCCATGGTGGCACATGCCTGTAATCCCAGCTACTTGGGAGGCTGAGGCATGAGAATTGCTTGAACCCAGGAGGCGGAGGTTACAGTGAGCCAAGATCATGCCACTGCACTCCAGCCTGGGCGACAGAGCAAGACTCTGTCTCCAAAAGAATAAAATAAAATAAAAATAAAGATCCAGCATACCCTTCACTCAGTTTCTCCCAATGGTAACATCTTGCATAAATATAGTACAATATCACACCAGGAAATTATTTTTGATAAAATCCACCAATCTTACTCAGATTTCACCATTTTTACATACACTCATCTGTTTGTGTGTGTTTAGTTCTATACAATTTTATTGCATGTGTAAATATCACATAGGAACAACATTACAGTCAAGATACAAAACTGTTCCATCACAAGGATCCCTCAGGGTACCCTTTTATAGCCACAGACACCTCCTTCCCTTCTCTCTCCCTAATGCCTAGCAACTACTCATCTGCTCTCTATCTCTATAATTTTATCATTTCGAGAATGTTGTGGGCTGGCCACAGCGGCTCACTCCTGTAATTCCAGCACTTTGGGAAGTCGAGGTAGGTGGATCATTTGAGGTCAAGAGTTGGAGACTAGCCTGGCCAATATGGTGAAAACCCGTGTTTACTAAAAATACAAAAAAAAAAAAATAGCTGGGCATGGTGGTACATGCCTTAATCCTAGCTACTCCGGAGGCTGACACAGGAGAATCACTTGAACCCGGAAGGCAGAGGCTGCAGTGAGCCGAGATTGTCCCACTGCACTCCAGCCTGAGTAACACAGTGGGACTCTTTCCCAAAAATAAATAAATAAATAAATAAATAAATAAATAAATAAATAAATAAATGTTATTAATGGAATCATACAAATCACAACCTGAGATTGACTTTTCTCACTCAGCATAATTTCCTTGAGATCTATCCAAGTTGCTGCCTATCTCAGTAGTTCATTCATTTTTATCTCTGGGTAGTATTTCATAATATGGATGTGCCACTGTTTAACTCTTCACCATTCGAGGACATTTGAATTATTTCTAGGCTTGGCTATTACGAACAATGTTTTGTGCAGATTCTTGGGTGAACAAACATTTTTATTTCTCTGAGATAAATGCCCAGTGACATGCAAATTTGAGACTCTAAACTGCAGCAGCTGTTTGGCTACCTCATCAGAGAGATTCCACCCTGATGACCCAATATAAAGTAATAACCATCACTCTTCATCTTCCATATTCTGATTCATTCCACTTTATGGCATGTTTCATACCATGTGTTTATTGCTTGGTTTGCTTATCATCCAACTTTCCCTCTAGAAAGTAATTCCATGACCCCAGCAACCTTGTCTGTTTTGTTCCACACAGTGTCCTGGAATCTAGAAGACTGGCACATAGTTGACACTCAACAAACATTTGTTGAATAAATTAATGAGTAAATAAATCTCAGACACCTTTCCCTATTAGATTATTTCTTCTTTTTCTTCTTCTCCTTCTTCTTCCTCTTCTTCTTCTTCTTCTTCCTCCTTCTTCTTCTTCTTCTTCCTCCTCCTCCTCCTCCTCTTCCTCTTCTTCTTCCTCCTCCTCCTTCTTCTTTGTTTTTGTTTTTGGAAACTGCATAGCATTTCATTGTACACCTGCATAATATTTTCATTAACTTATCCCCTGTTGGAGCATATTGACGTTGGTCCCGGTATTTTACAAATCCAAACAATGCTGTAATGGCAATCCTTGTATAATCAAACATCTCTGTCCAGATGGGAGAGAAGCAGAGTAGAAGGTTCTACGAGTGAGTGCATTTAAATTTTTTTAGTGATTGTCAAATTGTTTTCTTTTACTTTTTTTTTTTTTTAATCGAGATGGAGTTTTGCTCTTGTCACCCAGGATGGAGTGCAATGGCGTGACCTCGGCTCACCGCAACATCTGCCTCCCGGGTTCAAGCTATTCTCCTGCCTCAGCCTCCTGAGTAGCTGGGATTACAGGCATGCGCCAACACGCCCAGCTAATTTTGTATTTTTAATAGAGACAGAGTTTCTCCGTGTTGGTCAGGCTGGCCTCGAACTCCTGACCTCAGGTGAGCCACCCGCCTCAGCTCCCAAAAGTGTTGGGATTACAGGCGTGAGCCACCGCGCCCAGCCCAATTGTCAAATTGCTTTCAATGGTGTTCTCCCAATTTACATTCTCACAGTGTACTGGAATTCCTCACATTCTCATTAATACTGAATACTGTCAAAGTTTTAAATCTTTGCTAATCTCATAAATTAAAATTAACATCACCTCTTTTCACATGTTTATTGACCATTTGTTCTTTTTCTCTGTACCATCTGTTCATGACCTTTGCTCATTTTTCTTCTCTCTTTTTTTGCTTTTATTTGTGCAAATATTTTGTCTCAAGGAAATTCATCCTTTGTTTAATTTGCTAAAAACATCTTTCCCCAATTTTCCTTTATCATTCAGCTGTTTAGAAAATTTTTTTATAAGAAGACATCTAATTTTGAATTCTGTATAACCAAATTTATCCATTTGTGACTTCTGTGGGGTCATGTTTAGAAAGATCTTCCAGATGACAAGTGCCTTAAAAAAAATCAATCAGTTTTCTTTTTCCTGGAATTTTTATGGATTAATTTTCTTAAAAAAATTTCATTGATCAATAATATAGTTCAGTATAAGAAGTGAGATGAGATCTTTTTTCTCCCAAGTAGCTAGCCAGTTATTCCACAATCATTTATTGAATGTATAGCACCAACCTGCAATTTCTCCTGTATCTTGTACTAAATTCTTTTTTTTTTTTTTTTTTTTTTTTTTGGAAATGGGGTCTGGCTCTGTCACCCAGGCTGGAGTGCAGTGGTGCAATCTCGGCTCACTGCAACCTCTGCCTCCTGGGATCAAGGGATCCTCCCACCTTAGCCTCCCCAGTAGCTGGGACCACAGGTGCACGCCGCAACACCCAGCTAATTTTTTGTATTTTTGGTAAAGACTGGGTTTCACCATGTTGCCCAGGCTGGTCTCAAACTCCTAAACTCAAGCCGTGGCCTCCCGAAGTGCTGGGATTACCCTGCATAAGCCACCGCGCCCGGACCTTATATTAATGTTAAATTCTTATTGATATTTTGTCTTTTTCTCCATTTCCCATTCTGTCTCATCTAATACGTTGGCTTCTTAAGTACTGTATTCTTGTATTTATTATGATAATTTTTTATTTTTCCAGACTAAGGTTAGTATCAGTTGGTAAAAGACAGATAAGAGAGAAGGAGATAGAAGAAGCAGAAATACTTTAGGCCTCATCAGGTCCCACTCAGTTTGCTGCTTGGAAGAAGAATGATCCAAGGAGGGAGGGATCAACAGTGTAAAATGTCACAGGTAAGTGACGACTAACTGGGCCTGTGGTGTAGGGGGAAAAGATTTACCAAGACCATTGTAGGTAAAGAAAGGCAGATTTATTAGAGAAAGTAGAAAAATATGTTGCCAGGGAGACAACAGGCAGTATCAACAGAAGAGAAGCTGACTACAAAGAAACAAAGACTTGCTAGGGATTTTATACAATGGAACTTGGACTGATTGATAACGCTAAGGTAGCAGGAAGCTTAACCCGCATTCTTCTGTCAGCCAAGGTGCTTGATAAATCGAGGCGTTTGATGGTAAGCAGGAAGTTTGTGAGTTATGTACAGGAGGGCCATGTGCCCTGGGCCATAAAAAAAGCAGACCTATCACTTGTTTGCTTTATCTTTGCTTTCCCCTGGTCCCACCAGCCTGACTCCTTTTCCCTGATTAGGACTCCACATAAAATGCCTTCGAGATGTTAAGATGAAGACTGAAAAGTGTCCCTTGGATTTGGCCAATACTAGTAAAAGTCACTCGTTCCCTTAGGGCAGGGAGGTTTAGAGGAGGCAGGAGGAAATTCATTTTAAAACGGTATATTTTATTTTATTTATTTTTTGAGACAGAGTCTCGCTCCTGTCGCCCAGGCTGGAGTGCAATAGCGCAATCTTGGCTCACTGCAACCTCTGCCTCCCAGGTTCAAGCGATTCTCCTGCCTCAGCCTCCCGAGTAGCTGAGGTTATAGGCATGCGACACCATGCGTGGATAATTTTTGTATTTTTAGTAGGGACGGGGCTTCCCATGTTGGCCAGGCTAGTCTCAAACTCCTGACCTCAGGTCATCCGCCCGCCTCAGCCTCCCAGAGTGGGTTTATAGGCGTGAGCCACTGTGCCTGTCCCTAAAACAGTATATTTTAGGCCGGGCGCGGTGGCTCACGCCTGTAATCCCAGCACTTTGGGAGCCCGAGGAGGGCGGATCACGATGTCAGGGAATTGAGACCATCCTGGCTAACACGGTGAAACCCTGTCTCTACTAAAAAAAATACAAAAAATTAGCCGGGCATGGTGGCGGGTGCCTGTAGTCCCAGCTACTCAGGAGGCTGAGGCAGGAGAATGGCGTGAACCTGGGAGGCGGAGCTTGCGGTGAGCCGAGATCGCGCCACTGCACTCCAGCCTGGGCGACAGAGCGAGACTCTGTCTCAAAAAAAAAAAAAGTATATTTTATTAATACTCTTTTTTTGAGACGGAGTCTCGCTCTGTCGCCCAGGCTGGAGTGCAGTGGCGCGATCTCGGCTCACCGCAACCTCCGCCTCCCAGGTTCAAGCGATTCTCCTGCCTCAGCCTCCTGAGTAGCTGGGACTACAGGTGTGCGCCACCATGCCCGGCTAATTTTTGTATTTTTAGTAGAGACGGGGTTTCACTGTGTTGGCCAGGCTGGTCATGATCTCCTGACCTCGGGATCCGCCCACCTCAGCCTCCGGAAGTGCTGGGATTACAGGCGTGAGCTACCGGGCCTATTAATAAGAATTTTATTAGGCCTTTATACTAAAGAATTTGGACAATGTCCCAGAGGCAAACACAAACAAATAAACAACAACAACAAAAAACCCACAAAACTTTGAAGATGTCTGAGTAAGAAGCGACAGAATGAAAAGCATTTTCTTCTTTAAGAATTTTTAAGGATGATTCTATTCCTTGAGGTGGTATTTGAATCAGTGAAAAAGTACAAATAGAGAAATTAATGGGAAGGCTGCACGGCTACCGATTCTTTGAAAAATACTTGTAAACTGACACACTGGTGCAATAATATAGGTTAGGATTAGTAATAGAAATTAACATGAACAGGTAAATTAAGCAAATCAAAATTCCATGAAATCTGGATGATGAAGGGAAGACAGTAAACACTCAAGGAAGAGGGGCTGGGCATGGTGGCTTCTGCCTGTAATCCCCTCACTTTGGGTGGCTGAGATGGGAGGGTCACGATCACGTGAGCCCAGGAGTTCTTGACTAGCCTAGGCAACATAGTAAGACCCCATCTCTTAAAATTTCTTTTTTCTTACAAAATTTATTGAGAAAAAGACAGGTGTAACTTTTTTAAATTAAAAAAAAGGAAGGGGACTGTTAGAGATTGCTAATGTAAATATTCCCTTTCCCCCACTCCCACCTTGTTCTACCCAACTCATCTATTTTGTTCTACCTTTTTAAAATTTTTTCCTTTTGTTTTCTTTTTTGAAACGGAGTCTTGCTCTGTTGCCCAGGCTGGAGTGCAGTGGCCTGATCTCGGCTCCCTGCAACCTCTGTCTCCCAGGCTCAAGTGATTCTCCAGCCTCAGTCTCCAGAGTAGTTGGGATTACAGGTGTGCACCACTGTGCCCATCGAGTTTTTGTATTTTTGGTAGAGACGGGGTTTCACCATGTTGGTCAGGCTGGTCTTGAACTCCTGGGCTTAAGCGATCCACCCGCCTCAGCCTCCCAAAGTGATGGGATTACAGGCATGAGCCACCACACCCTGCCTGTTCTACCTTTCTTTACCCCCAGGTCACCTGCCTCCAGAGGTAATAAAGGGTTGGTAAGATAAACACAATCAATTCTGAAAAACAAAGCCAAACTCAAGGCTTGCATCCCCCAAGTAAAGGAGAAGATGAAGGGCAGCTTTATCTACCTATCCATATCTCTCATATTTCTGCACTGTATTGCAATGCTTATTAGTCCTTTTTGGAGTAAATGAGAATAGACATATCCTTTAATTCTTACAAATTTCATTGTTGACCCAATCTCAAACCAAGACCAGACTGTGGTGTGGCCTGGCCCAAGTACTCTACATTTTTCTGGAAATGGGCTAAAGCTATTTGGGACTGGAATTTGAATGACTGGGTACTCAGAGTATGGTTGAGAAGGTAGATGTGGGTTTGGGGCTGGCAAGTCCACTTAATCCCTCAGACTTCTTGTCCCATGGGGAAGAGGACCAGAGTGGAACTCTCTAAAGTGATGATGTGGGCTGCTTTGCCTACGGAGTAGCCATTCTTTATTCCTTTATTTTCTTAATAATCTTACTTTCACTTTGAAAAAATAAAAATAAAGTGATGGTCTGGAAGCAGAAGCCCGCCTTGCTCAGATAGCAAGACAATATTGAGAAAATCTCAAAGAAAACTAGGAAACACCAAGTAAGGGATAAGAAAGCAACTTAAAAATGCTGGAGGTCTACTGGATGATAAGACAATGAGTATTGTGGGACTCCAAGACCCTGGGTCACCGCAGGATTCTTAGTTTCTCTATACTTCAGAAAGGAGCAAGCAATTTTTAGTTGCTACTCAATACAACAACCCTACGTAGTGGGCATTTTAATACCATTTTAATGGATAAACAATCTTATGGTTCAAAAAGTAAAAGATGTAACGAAATCTACTTCTTACTGCGGTACAATTATCATCCCCATTTCACACGAGGAGAAACTGAGGTAAATGAATGGTAAACCAACTTGCTTGGGCACAAGTGAGAGGTAGCAGAACTGGGCTTGTTATTGACACACAGAAATGTTACCATCTGATAATTAAACCTTTCTTTTTCTAAACAAAACTGCAAGTGCCTACAAATGGGGCTGTTTAATAAAAGGCCTCACTTATCAGGTGGGCTCAGTCGGTGACCCTCCTCATCCTCCAGCCTCTTGGGGAGGCCAGGTGTTTGCGCTCCCCAGCACCTATACAAAGCCAGCTTTCATTTTTTCGTTTCTTTTTTTTTTTTTTTTTTTTTTTTGAGACAGAGTCTCCCTCTGTCCCGCAGGCTGGAGTGCAGTGGCGATCTCGGGTCACTGCAACCTCCGCCTCCTGGGTTCAAGGGATTCTGCTGCCTCAGCCTCCTGAGTAGCTGAGACTACAGGCGCCTGCCACCACGCCCGGCCAATTTTTCTATTGGTAGTAGAGATGGGGTTTTACCATGTTGGCCAGGATAGTCTTGATCTCCTGACCTCGTGATCCACCTGCCTTGGCCTCCCAAATGCTGGGATTACAGGCGCGAGCCACTGCGCGCGGCCAAAGCCAGCTTTCTTTTGCAGGGGCTGAGACCTGGCACCAAGAGGAAACCCAACAAAAGACGAGGGGCCCGGGCCCGGCAGCCGCTGAAGTTTGTAGGCCCGGAGCGTGTGGCACCATCTGCTCTTGCGACCAGTGCCCTAGGATAGAGCTTCAGCGCGACCAGTCCAAAGGAGAGTGGCGGAGCCTCCTCGGCCTTTCCAAGAGGAAACAGCTCAGGCCCCCAGGCCACGAAACCTTGTCACTCGCTGGAAGCGCGAGCCAAGCCCCGCCCCCGCGAGCCGCCTCTTCCGCTCGCGCTGGGGTGGGGTTTACGCTGCCGCCGGCATCCGCTCGGACGCGGCCACGTTGTCTTGCGCGCTTTGCCCGCCTGGCCCTGGGACTCTGACCCTCGGCTACCCTTTCCTGCCCCACTAGCGTGGCCGCGAGCCTCGGTGAGCCGGCCGTATTCCCGCTCTCGCTTAGGGGGCACAGGCGCAGGCATCGGCCCGGCCACTCCAAGCCTTCGGTGCGCGGGCGCGTCTGGGATACGGGCCCGGGAGGCGCCGCCCTCCGTCCGCCCGGTGCCTCTCAGGAACAGCGAACCGGAGAGAGCGCCGGAGAGTTGGGCTCAGTGCAGAGCTCGGCGCCGGGGCCCATGCCCGTGCGCCCCCGCAGGCCGGCGCCATGGCCTCCGGGAGTGTGGCCGAGTGCCTGCAGCAGGAGACCACCTGCCCCGTGTGCCTGCAGTACTTCGCAGAGCCCATGATGCTCGACTGCGGCCATAACATCTGTTGCGCGTGCCTCGCCCGCTGCTGGGGCACGGCAGAGACTAACGTGTCGTGCCCGCAGTGCCGGGAGACCTTCCCGCAGAGGCACATGCGGCCCAACCGGCACCTGGCCAACGTGACCCAACTGGTAAAGCAGCTGCGCACCGAGCGGCCGTCGGGGCCCGGCGGCGAGATGGGCGTGTGCGAGAAGCACCGCGAGCCCCTGAAGCTGTACTGCGAGGAGGACCAGATGCCCATCTGCGTGGTGTGCGACCGCTCCCGCGAGCACCGCGGCCACAGCGTGCTGCCGCTCGAGGAGGCGGTGGAGGGCTTCAAGGTGAGGGCGCGGATCCGGGAGGGCGGGAGCGCGAGTCGGACAAAGGGAGGAGAGAGCCAAAGGGGCTTCCTTTTTTCCGCCTAGAAAATGGCTGAGCCGGACGTGTGGTTCACAGCCGTCATTTCCTCTCTGTCCGCTCCAGAGCCTCAGCACTCAGATTTGGAGGAAAACCTGTAGCTGGCGAGGAAGCCAGGAGTGTCCCCACCCCCACTCTCTTTTCTCTGTTTACCCCCATGTTACCTGTCTCACGGACACATTGTACACGGAGACATCCTTTTGACAGTTTAAAAGAAGTGCATAAAACCGCGTACACATCGACAAGCTGCAGACACTCTTACTCCCATCGGCTCTCAGACAAAACGCAGTTGGACGTTAACTGACTTATGCCCATTCCTTAGTCTATAAGCATTTCCCCAGCACTTTCCTGCAATCCGTCCTGGTCTAGAAACTCACAGAAAAGAACAGCTTTTCGCTGCTGGAGTAAGTCACTTAACCACTCTGAGACTCAGGAGATAACACAGTTATGAGGAATATTGTGGAATCATGTGACTCACAGAGCCCTTTGTGAACTGGCACAGCTAAACAGAAACGTGGAAACAAAGTATTACATATAAAACAGTTGTAAGGTGACCTTCAAGGAGTCCATGATACTGTGTATTTTCTGTACGTTGAGGGCTTCAGGAATGCGTACACAATTATGTCCGTGTTTAAATATGAGTACATTCATGTGCAATCACTTAACATTTATGGACCTTTCAGCTATATTATTTCACTCACTCTGGTGAGAACTCTTGAGTAGGTTGGGAAGATGGTGTTTGCCCATTTCACACATGAGGGAAATAAGTCACTTTCACAGTGTACCTATATGGAAGAGCTACAATACAACATAGTTCTAAGCCTCCTACTCCAGTCACAGTTCCGCTAAGTCATGCAATATCCTACCAGGGACAGGTAGATGACTCATTGTTTAAGATAGACACAAATAGTCCTGACGAGGTAGCTGAGTGGTTGAAGCCACAGGCTGCTAAGATAGACACAGATTGCCAAAGGAGTGGCTTGTTTGCCCCTGCGCCCTGAGTCTCTTGTGGGTGGCAGTGTGGCCTAAGGACAAGCGCCAACTGGAGACTTGGCATCAGGTGTGTGGACTCCATGTGTGATAAGAAGTACCATGCTGATGCTAAGGTCTACCTAATTTTGAACTGCCCATCTGTTTTGCTTTTCTCAGGAGCAAATCCAGAACCAGCTCGACCATTTAAAAAGAGTGAAAGATTTAAAGAAGAGACGTCGGGCCCAGGGGGAACAGGCACGAGCTGAACTCTTGGTAAGGGTTGTTGGAATTCACAGTTGGTTCTGCTGGTGCTCTCCTCTTCTGTAGAGCTGATGTTACTTCCCTTAAACTTGTCCAGCATGTCACCCAGAACTTGTAGGTAGAGGTGGATCAACCGCACATGGCAGTGGGAACTCACCCGGAGAACTAAGATTCCCTTACTTTTGGGGAAAGCATGGAGAAGCCAAGTTTGGAACCCTTGGAAATCAGACCTGTCAGTTTACTTTAACCTGCTAACTGCGTAGACCAGGGTTGATCCTTGGCAAAGCTGAGATAGGTAAAATTATTGGATACAGTTAGCTTGCGTTGGTACCATTCTGCAGACAATTGCTAATAGTGGATTTGTGTAATCCCCACTGTTGCTTCTCTTTGGCTTATTCTCCTTTCTTAACAATGCCTTAATTCTGAATTTTTTACTCTGCCCTCTTCCTCCAGTCTCAAGGCCTTAACAAGTGGCTGATGTGTTAATTTATATTAGGGGTATATGGGAATTTTTTTTTTTTTTTTTAAGACAGGGTCTCACTGTCATCCAGGCTGGAGTGCAATGGTGAGGTTTTGGCTCGCTGCAACCTCTGCCTCCCAGTTCAAGCGATTCTCCCACCTCAGCCTCCCAGGTAGCTGAGGCTACAGGCGTACGCCAACAGACTCAGCTAATTTTTGTATTTTTAGTAGAGATGGTGTTTCTCCATGTTGGTTAGGCTGGTCTCGAACTCCCGACCTCAGGTGATCCGCCCACCTCAGCCTCCCAAAGTGCTGGGATTACAGACGTGAGCCACCGCGCCCAGCCTGGCTCCTTGTTTAGAACAAAAGTTTATAATAGAGTCCTGTTGGTGGTGGGGGTTGGGTGAAGAACGAAGGACAGTAAATTATGGCAAACAAATGAGCGCCAAGAGGGAATCGTGGGGAGAGCACCTCTCCCCCTCCTACCCAAAGCTAGAGACAGCAGTTGGTGAACACCCGTGAAGGACAGACAGCGGGTATGGATTACATATGAAGGGCCCAGGGAAATTGGGCAAGGAAGCTGTTATTGGTTGTTCCATCCTCCATAGGGCACATATCTGACCCTGTCACTTTCCTGTGTGACAATCTTCCATGCTTCCCAGTTGGGATAGAGTCCTTACCCCCAGCCTCCCAGGCCAGGCATGACAAGGCCTTACCTTTTCTGGTCCCTTCCCTCAACACTCATGTGCTCCAGCCAGATAGCACCATTTGCTTTCTCTCCCCACTCTTTTGCCTGTGCCATTTCTTCTGCCTGGAAAGGCTTCCCGCTCATTGCCTATGTGGTGAATTCTTGTTCATCACATGAACATTGTGTGAAATTGCTTCTGTGAAGATGGTACCAGTTTCTTTCATTGCAGGCTGTCACCCTATCTTTAATTACCCATCCATGACTATGTATATCATATGAACCTGACTCACTTCTCTGAGTTGCTTGAGAACAGGGACTATGTCTTAATAATCACTGGGGTAATTCAGTTCCTGGGCATTATATATCCAGTCAGTAAAGACTGGAAATAATGAGTTAGCACTGTGCTTGTTTTAATCCATAATGAGGTCTTGGGCTACATGGTCACAGGAGAACTATGAAGGCCCTAGAAATGAGCCGTTTTTCTCTTTACTGCCTTTCCCTGTCGTCTGCATAGAGCCTAACCCAGATGGAGAGGGAGAAGATTGTTTGGGAGTTTGAGCAGCTGTATCACTCCTTAAAGGAGCATGAGTATCGCCTCCTGGCCCGCCTTGAGGAGCTAGACTTGGCCATCTACAATAGCATCAATGGTGCCATCACCCAGTTCTCTTGCAACATCTCCCACCTCAGCAGCCTGATCGCTCAGCTAGAAGAGAAGCAGCAGCAGCCCACCAGGGAGCTCCTGCAGGTAAGGCTTGCAGAGCCCTGCTAGAGCAGCACCCACTGAAAATATCGTCCCTTCTCCTTTGCCAAGTAGTATCCAGGACCCCCTGTCTTCTTTTTAACTCTGCAGGAATAGCAAGAGCTTGCCAAACTCTATATTGTGCACCTTGGAAGGAAACTGTGTAAACTAGAAGTTCTGGTTCACACAACTTGAATTAGTCAATTGCGTTGTCTCATAGAAATGGCAAAAAGAAGACCTGGTGCTTGTGCCTACACAGCACTGACAAGTGGTCTGATTACAGGCAAGGCTCTCAACCTTTTTGGGCCTCAGTGACCTCATTTGTTCAGTAATGAGGGGCTTAGACCACATGTCATTCAAAGACTCTCCTCACTCCAGTATCCTGTAGTTTTAATGTATTACTATAGCCACAAAACAATGAGCACTTGAGCAGGAGTGGTTAGGTTACCTGAGCAGTCCTGTGATTTAACCTTGGTAGAGCAGGTGATAAAGCTGCAGCAGACCTACCCCGGCAAGACTACAGGAAATGAGCTAATGCCTGTCTGTCGTTTGCTCATTCAGTGCGTATTAATTATTTGCTTTGTGTCAGGCACTATTCTAGGCACTGGGATTAAGTGCCAAATAAGCTTTCCTGAATTATATTTTAGTGTGGCGATCAGATAGTTCTTATAGGTATTTGATAAAAGCCATTAAAAATGGATGATGGCGGGCCAGGTGCAGTGGCTCACACCTGTAATCCCAGCACTTTGGGGGGCCGAGGCGGGTGGATCACAAGGTCTAGGACTTCAAGACTAGCCTGGCCAAGATGGGGAAACCCCGTCTCTACTAAAAATACAAAAATTAGCCAGGCATGGCGGTGTGCCTGTAGTCCCAGCTACGCGGGAGGCTGAGGCAAGGAATTGCCCAAAACCAGGAGGAAGTGGTTGCAGTGAGCCAAGATCGCGCCACTGTACTCCAGCCTGGGCAACAGAGCGAGACTCTGTCTCAAAAAAATAAATAAATAATAAAAAATAAAAATAAAAATGGATGATGGCATAGGGCAAGGGTCAGCAAATTATGGTCCATCCCCTGTTTTTGTATGTCCTGGGCAATAAGTATGGTTTTTACATTTTAATTTTAATTTAATATTATTTATTTATTTTGAGATTGAGTCTTGCTCTGTTGCCCAGGCTGGAGTGCAGTGGTGCGATCTTGGCTCACTGCAACCTCCGCCTCCTGGGTTCAAGCGATTCTCCTGCCTCAACCTCCTGAGTAGCTGAGATTACAGGCGCACACCACCATGGCTGGCTAATTTTTGTATTTTTAGTAGAGACGGGGTTTCACCATATTGGTCAGGCTGGTCTCAAACTCCTGACCTCGTGATCTGCCCTCCTCGGCCTCCCAAAGTGTTGGGATTACAAGTGTGAGCCACAGCGTCAGGCCAGTTTACATTTTTAAATGGTAAAAATCAGAAAAATGTATTTCTTTCTTTCTTTTTTTCTTTTTTTATTTTTGAGACGAAGCAAGAAGGGAGTGGACAGCATAGTAATGCAGTTGAGGTCAAATAATATCAAAGCTGATACCCATTTGATTCAATAACATGACCATCATTGGTGATCTTAGGTAGAACTATCACAATGGAATAATTGGGGCAGGAGCCACATTAGGGGGAGTTGAGTAGTGACTAGGTCAGGTGAATGGAGACTACACAAGTAGATGACTATTTCAAGTACAACTGTTAAGGGGTTGTAATAAAATACTTAGAGACGAGACAGGATTATGGAGTTTTATCTGGAAGGGTTGGTTAAAGAAACTAGAAGTTAGACATATTTTCAAAATACATATGGAAAGGAGTATATGTTGTAAGGTTTCTAGGTGAGGGAGAACACTGAAGCCACAAGAAACCATATACTGGCCGGGCACGGTGGCTCATGCCTGTAATCCCAGCACTTTGGGAGGCCGAGGTGGGCAGATCACCTGAGGTCGGGAGATTGAGACCAGCCTGACCAACATGGAGAAACCCCATCTCTATTAAAAATACAAAATTAGCCGGGTGTGGTGGCACATGCTTGTAATCCCAGCTACTCAGGAGGCTGAGGCAGGAGAATCGCTTGAACCAGTGAGACGATGGTTGCAGTGAGCCGAGATTGCGCCATTGCATTCCAGCCTGGGCAATGAGCGAAACCCTGTCTCCAAAAAAAAAAAAAAGAAAGGAAGAAAGAAACCATGTACTGATCAGCAATGTGCGGTTCCTGAGAAGGCAGGTGGAAATGAGAACTAAAGTACATATGCCAGGAATTAGTGTCAGAGAGTCTTCTGTTGTATGGGAAGAAATGATTGTTTCAGAGTATGGGAAAGACAGTTGGTTTGCGAGAACTAGTAGGAGTATTTGGTCAGTGAACATCTATTTATAGTGTAACCATTCTGCCCTGTTGTGTAACTTTCTTTTTTTTTTTTTTTTAAGACATACTCTTGCTCTGTTGCCCAGGCTGGAGTGCAGTGGTGCAATCTTGGCTCACTGCAACATCCCCCTCTCAAGTTCAAGCAATTCTCCTGCCTCAGCCTCCCAAGTAGCTGGGATTACAGGCGTGTGCCACCACGCCCAGCTAATTTTTGTATTTTTTATAGAGACGGAGTTTCACCATGTTGGCCAGGCTGGTCCTGAACTCCTGACCTCAGGTGATCCTTCTGCCTCGGCCTCCCAAAGTGCTGGGATTACAGGTGCGAGCCACCGTGCCCAGCCCCTGTCGTGTAACTTTCTTATCAGCTTTGCTTTCTCAAATCTTGACTGCTCTGGCGTGGGCACTGAGTAAGCAGATGGTCAGTCTCATCCAGGATTGGGGTTTTGCAAGATGGACTTGAGTGTTTTTTTTTCCTTAGTTTTTATTGTTGTTGTTTGAGACAGGGTCTCACTCTGAAACCCAGTCGGAGTGCAGTGACATGATCATGGCTCACCGCAGCCTTGACCTCCCAGGCTCAGATGATCCTCCCACCTCAGCCTCCCAAGTAGCTGGGACTACAGGCGTAAACCACCATGCTTGGCTAATTTGTGTAATTTTTGTAGAGATGGAGTTTTGCCATGTTGCCTCGGCTGGTCTTGAACTCCTGGGCTCAAGCAATCCATCCGCCTCAGCCTCCCAAAGTGCTAGGATTACAGGTGTGAGCCACCACATCCAGCCTTCCAGCCTTCTTCATTTTTTTAATTGTAAAATATACGTAACCTAAATTTCACCATTTTAAAGTGTAAAACTCTGGCACAAAGTAGCATTTAGTAAATCCACAGTGTTGTAAATTATCAACCACTGTCTGGATCTAAAACACTTTTACCACCCAAAAGGAAACCTCACACTATTAAGCAATCACTCCTCATTTCCTTCTACCCCTAACTCCTGGCTCTATGGATTAGTCTATTCTAGATATTAGATATAATTGAAATCATACAGTACGTAGCCTTTTTCTTCACTTAGCATACTTTTTTTTTTTTTTGAGGCAGAGTTTCACTCTTGTTGCCCAGGCTGGAGTGTAACGGCACGATCTCCGCTCACCGCAACCTCCGCCTGCCAGGTTCAAGCGATTCTCCTGCCTCAGCCTTCCGAGTAGTTGGTATTACAGGCATGCGCCACCACCCCTGGCTAATTTTGTATTTTTAGTAGAGACGGGGTTTCCCCATGTTGGTCAGGCTAGTCTCAAACTCCTGACTTCAGGTGATCCACCCACCTCAGCCTCCCAAAGTATTGGGATTACAGGTGTGAGCCACCACGCCCGGCCTATCACTTAGCATATTTTTTTAAAGATTCATTCATATTGTAATATGTTTCAGTACTGGCCAGGCGCGGCGGCTCACGCCTGTAATCCCAGCACTTCAGGAGGCCAAGGTGGGCAGATCACGAGGTCAGGAGTTCGAGACCAGCCTGGCCAACATGGTGAAACCCCGTCCCTACTAAAAATACAAAAATTAGCCAGGCGTGGTGGCGCATGCCTGTAATCCCAGCTACTCAGGAGGCTGAGGCAGGACAATCACTTGAACCTGGGAGGCAGAGGTTGTAGTGAGCCGAGATCGTGCCATTGCACTCCAGCCTACGCAATAGAATGAGACTCCATCTCAAAAAATATATATATGAAAAAATATATATTTCAGTACATATATATATGTTTCAGTATTTCTCTTTATGGCTGAATAACATTCCATTGTATGGATATATAATATGTTTTGTTTATTCATCAGTCGATGGGCATTTTGGTTGTTTGCACCTTTTGGCTATTGTCAATAGTGCTGCTGTGAACATTGAACACAAAAAGTAGAAAATGGTTCACAAATTTGTGTGTTATCCTTGTGCAGGAGCCATGCTAATCTGTGCATGGTTCCCATTTGAGGATATCTGCTGCTGAAGCAAGCACCATAATTAAGGCTTTAAAACCTTTTTTTAAATTTTTTTTAGACAAAGTCTCACTCTGTTGCCCAGGCTGGAGTGCAGTGGCACAATCTCAGCTCACTGCAGCTTCCACCTCCTGAGTGAGTCTCCTGCCTCAGCCTCCCGAGTAGCTGGGATTACAGGCACACACCACCACACCTAGCTAATTTTTGTATTTTTGGTAGAGATGGGGTTTCACCATGTTGGCCAGGCTGGTCTTCAACTCCTGACCTCAGGTGATCCGCCTACCTTGGCCTCCCAAAGTGCTGGTATAATAGACGTGAGCTACTGCGCCTGGTCTAAAGCTTCTTTTTTTTTTTTTTTTTTTTTTTTAAGAATATTTTTTTAAACAGATGGAGCATGAAACTGAAGGTGGATGATGAGGAAAGGAGAGAAAGAAAGAAGTCATGGACTCAGTAAGGGAGGAGGGGCTCCATGAATATCAAAAAGTGTTTATGTTGGAAGTCACTGGAAAAGCAGGATAAATATTACTTAATGGGGCAATACTGGAGGCATTCCCATTGAGGTCAGAAACAGGCCGGATGCCCAGTATCATTTATCTCTATTTAACACTGCATTAAAGGTTCTAACCAGTTCAGTTAAATAAAATAATTATAGGTATACAAATTGGGAAAGAAGTTAACATACAGAAATCAGCAGCCTTCATATGCCAGATAGCAGCCACTAGAAGACATATTAGAAGAGAACATGCTGTTTCCATTTGCAAAAAAAAAACAAGTGATAAAATATCTGGGAATAAATTTATAAGAAATATACAAAAACCTATGTGGAGAAAATTATAAAACATTCAAAGATTCCTGAAAGACACAAAATAAACTTGAACAAATAAAGAGATATCACTTATTCTTTGATAAGACAGGGAAAGCAAGTTGTCCTTCACATTCATAAATGCAGTTTCTTTTTTTTTTCTGTTACTCGGATATATTATGTAGTGAAGTCTCGGATTTCAGTGTAACCATCACCCAGGTACCCAGTGTACGTTGTACCCATTAAGTAATCTGTTATCCCTCATCCCCCCCCCCCCACCCTTGCAATTTCAATAAAAATACCAACAAGCTCTTTTTCTGGATCTAGACAAATTGACAGTCAACTTCAGATAGAAAAATAAGCACATAATAATATGCACATATAAAATAAGCACATATTATTATGTGCTTATTTTTATGGGATAGGCCGGGTGCAGTGACTCACACCTGTAATCCCAGTACTTTGGGAGGCCGAGGCAGGTGGATCACATTAGGTCAGGAGTTTGAGACCAGCCTGGCCAACATGGCAAAACCCCGTCGCTATTAAAAATACAAAAATTAGCCAGGTGTGGTGGCACATGCCTGTAATCTCAGCTACCTGGGAGGCTGAGGCAGGAGAATCTCTTGAACCCGGAGGTGGAAGTTGCAGTGAGCTGAGATCGCACCATTTCACTCCAGCCTGGGAGGCAGATCAAGACTCTGTCTCAAAAAAAAAAAAAAAAGCTGGGATAGATCACTAGAGCCCAAGAGGTTGAGCCTGCAGTGAGCTATGATTGCACCACTGCACTCCAGCCTGGGTAACAGAGCAAGACTCTGTCTTAAAAAAAAAAAAAAAACATAGGTAGGCTACACTGTGAAAGAAGAGCTCTGAGGGAGAACTGGCCCTACTAGATACTACACCATATTTTAAAGCCCATATAATTAAAGCTGTTGGTATTAGTACAAGAAAAAAGCGCACACACATTGTAACCAGTCAAAAGATAGTATTAAAATTGAATATTTGCCACAAATATCACAAATACAAGTGATAGTTCTAATATAAAAAGACCTTTTAAGTATTGCGAGAGAAAAGACCAAAATTCTAGAGAAAAATGGGTTGAAGGCACAAATAGACAAGCTGCAAAAGACATAAATTGCTTTGTGAACATGTGAAAAAATGCTCAGCTGTACTTATAATAAGAGAAATGCAAACTAAAACCACACTAAAATACCATTTCTTACTCGTTACAATAGCAAAAATTTTCAACTTAATACACTTTTGACGAAGTGTCGGAGAGACACTCATATGCCAGTGGGCTGGTAGGAATGCAAAATCATGACCCTTTTGGAGGAGAATTTCTCAATATTTAACAAAACTGTATGTGTGTGTGTGTATGTATACACACAGTTAGAATTAACAATTTTTCTAGGAAGGGTAGAGGGAGGAGAGATGAGAGATTGATTAATGGGTACAAATATACAGTTTGATAGAAGAAATAAAAGCTAGTGTTTGATAGGTCAGTAGGGTGACTGTAGTTTACAAAACTATTATATATATCTATGTATATACACACACATATACATACGTATATTATATATATATATATATATTTTTTTTTTTTTTTGAGATGGAGTTTCACTCTTGTTGCCCAGGCTGGAGTACAATGGCAAGATCTCAGCTTACCGCAACCTCTGCCTCCCGGGTTCAAGCGATTCTCCTGCCTCAGCCTCCCGAGTAGCTGGGATTACAGGCATACGCCACCATGCCCGGCTAATTTTGTATTTTTAGTAGAGACGGGGTTTCTCCATGTTGGCC